>NW_016107313.1:0-171263 GCF_000001405.40 Homo sapiens
GAATTCCCCATGAGTCCTGTGACCTCAGCCCACACGGGGACCTACAGGTGCTACGGCTCACTCAGCTCCGACCCCTACCTGCTGTCTCACCCCAGTGGCCCCGTGGAGCTCGTGGTCTCAGGTGAGGGCGCTGACCCTGTCCTCTCTGAGCTCAAAGGCTCAGCTCAGGCCCTGCCCCCAGCAGAGCTCTGGACACTAAGGAAAGAGGGGAGTGAAGGGAGAGGGTCCGCAGGGGAGGGTCCAGCCCATGGGAAGATGGAAATAGACAGGGACCTCCCACCCCTGGCTCCCACCCCTGAAGTCTCAGTAGAGTAAAGTGCAGGGAGGGCTGGGAGGAGACGGGGGGTGAACCTCAAAGGAGTTGAGATTAGACTGAGGGTGGAAGACGGAGGCCCCACCTGCTCCCATCCTGGTGTCTCCACCTCAGAATCAGAGCCTCTGTGTCCCAGTCCCCAACAGACGCCCTCCTGGAGAGAGAAGCATCCAGGCTGCCGGTGCCACCTGCATCCACCCCCGACCCCCCCCCACCCCGCCCCACTTCCTGCTTTCCCCTGCAGCCTCCCCAGCACTCAGCGCACACCTGAGCCTCACAGGGACTTGCACGTGCTCCCGCAGCAGCTCAGGGAATGTGCACCGCTCCTCTTCTGCGCCGTTGACATTTTTTATTTGGGTTTTTAAAATCTCATATTGGCCTTTTTGTCCAAGCTGGTGAAAGTAGATTTGCAGCATCACCTATTTTTATTCTCACCCGGTTTCGTAATAGCCCTGATCTCACGTGCTCCCTGAGGTTTTGTAAACTTCAGGTAGAAATGTGGACTTCCTTCGTTCTGGACATTTGCTATGGAGGGGGTAGGGCTTATCTTTTCAGAAAAAGTCAAATGACTGGTACCACTCCTTGAAACCCTACAGCACTTTCCAGACCTCAGAGGGAGGGAGAGAGAGGCAGAGACAGAGACAGAGAGACAGAGAGAGAGATATTGGGGCCGCTCTTTCCTGGCCGGTTCATCCTGGCCTATTCTCAATCCACCAAGGCCCCGAAGCTCATCTCCCCTCCTCCTCTGCCTCCTCCTCCACCCTGTAGACAAGCGGCCATTCCTTTCTGAAGAACAGGCTGAGACCTTTCTGGGACCTGCTCTTTCTGGAGCCTCTGTTGCTCCCTGTCTGGGTCTCCACACGCCTCCTTCCTGGCCCTTTTTCCTATTGAGGAATCAGCTTCAATGTCACCTCCAAGTGTGACCTTCACTGACGACACAGCTCAGCCCAGTCCTGCCTGCTTCTCATTTATGTCAAGTAATTAACCAACCTACACCATGCGGCTGAATTCCTTCTCTCTCTCTTCCACTCTCTGCATATACGTGTGTGTGTGTGTGTGCGCGTGTGTGGTCACACCAACATCTTACGTGACATTGAAACCTAGTTATCCGTATATCTATACAAATAATATATATTCACACATAAATATAGGTCTCTACCAATATATCTAAAACCATTGCTACGACTAGTAAATTTCCACTGCTGTGTTTCTATATGTTTGCTGTTTGTCTCCAGGTGAACCCACACTTCAAGAAGGCAGAGATAGTTTTTAAGGCCCACTATATATATAAAACAGATATATATTTGTGTTTGTGTTTTTCTGTGTGTGTATCACATTCTACCTGTTGCTGCCTATACGAATAATTAGCTACCTAGAGATTAAATGGACAATGAAACTCCAGGTGAAGTGGCTGAGGGCATGAAGGGGAGGCAGCCCCAGAATTTCACCCCTTTGTGCTTCTGACATTGAGGCTCCCCTGATGACTAACCCTCATCCACGGAGCCTGGGTCCTCAGCTGGTGGATCCGTGAAACTCTCATCTCCGGGGGAGTTGGCTCATGTTCTCCTGTGTCCCAGGCTGCACAGAGAGCACACAGGCCTTAGTGACCTCTGTACTGGGGACCACTTTCCTTGCAGATCCTGAGCTCTCAGGATGCAGGAAAACTCTCTCCCAGATGACTCAGGAGCAATGTTTAAATCCATAGAACACAGGAAAACTGAAATCGTTCAATGAGGAGACTAGAGGGAATCCTGCTAGCGGAGGAAGAGGTTTTTTTTTTTTTTTTTTAGAAATTCTGTAAAAGTCACATCATGAGACATTAAGTAATAAAAAAAAAATTGCAGAGCCCAGGTGAGAGGCTGGGCTCAGGTCTCTTTTTCTCTGTTTTGATTCTCTGGAGCAGCTGATACCCTCAGCCCATCACAAAACAAGTCTGACTCTGAGACTGGTATGTGAGGAGATACTCTCAGTGATGGGGCTGGCACTGAGGGTTGGGTCCTGTGAAGGGGAGGTGGGTGCCCTGGGTGGACAATCTGATCCACCCTGACCTCTGTGACCTCTTTGTCCACCATCCCCAGCCTCACACCTTCAGGATTACGCAGTGGAGAATCTCATCCACATGGGCGTGGCTGGCTTGATCCTGGTGGTCCTCGGGATTCTGTCATTTGAGGCTTGGCACAGCCAGAGAAGCTTCCCAAGATGCAGCCGGGAGGTGAACAGCAGAGAGGATAATGTACTTTATAGAGTCGTGAAGCCTCAGGAACAGATCTGATGATCCCAGGAGGTTCTGGAAGAAAATCTAGGGCCGATGCTATCTGGACTGTCTGCTGGTCATTTCCAGAGGAAGGAATCAATGTCCGAGTGCAGGGACATTTTCTGGGGTGATCCATGGAGAACCATTAAAATGTGATACCTTTCCTCTCCATTAATGTTGACTTTCCTTGGTTGGATCTGCCTCTTTTCCCACACTTAGACATGAGGCTCCATCCCACATGGCAGCGTTGGGTCCACACCTCTGCACACCTGCATGCTCTGGTCCATGGCGTGTCACACAGTCCTCTTCATTTCTCATTGCCACACTTCCTGGTGTACTTTACTGGGTCTTCATGTCTTCAGTTCAGAGTTCCGCACCTGGTTTAGGAACTAATTCAACGGGAGAAGATCAGAGTCCGACCAGGAAAAGATAAATGCACCGTGATGCCCTCACCTCCTGTGTGGACCCTATGAGCTCTTCCCTCCTTATCAGATGCTATCTGTGTAGTTTCTCCTGAAATATCACCACCTGGAATCAACACACTGGCATTTGAAGTCACGACCCAATGGTATGCTAATTCTGAAAAAGACATTTTTTGAAATGCTATGATTAGTGGCATTTACCAATTTCCTTGACGTAAATTCTTTTTTCATGGCCATAATCAAGATGCCAACGAGACATCCCTGAATGCAGGGTTGGGAAGCGTTGGACAGACTTGTCTTCACTCATAAGCACCAGGCATCTGATAGCTCACGTATACATCTTATTACCTTCCATTTTAGAGTGAATAATCATTTCTACTTCAGTATTTTGGCACAGGTAAAAGCAGTCCCATTACTGCGCGTATACCCAAAGGAATATAAATCATTCTATTGCAAAGATACATGCACACATGTGTTCATCGCAGCACTATTCACAATAGCAAAGACATAGAATCAACCCAAATGCCCATCAATGATAGACTGGATAAAGAAAATGTGAGACATATACACCACGGAATACTATGAAGCCATAAAAAGAAACAAGATCATGTCCTTTGCAGGGACATGGATGGAGCTGGAAACCATTATCCTCAGGAAACTAACACAGGAACAGGAAATCAAACGCTGCATGTTCTCACTTACAAGTGGGTGCTGAACAATGAGAATGCGTGAACACAGGGAGGGGAACAACACACACTGGGGCCTGTCGGGGGGGGGGTGGGGTAGGGGTAGGGAGAGCATTAGGAAAAATAGCTAATGTATGCTGGGCTTAATACCTAGGTGATGGGTTGACAGGTGCAGGAAACCACCATGGCGCACATTGACCTATGCAATAAGCCCACACATTCTGCACATGTACCCCGGAACTTAAAATAAAAATAAAAATTAAAATTAAATTATGACACCATGATCCTAGCATATCCAAAAAAGACAAAAATGCCAATATCAAATGTCGGAGAAAATAGGGCTGAATTAAAAATCCAATACAACGCCGGGCGCAGTGGCTCACGCCTGTAATCCCAGCACTTTGGGAGGCCAAGGTGGGTGGATCACTTGAAGTCAGGAGTTTGAGACCAGCCTGGCCAAACGTGGTGAAACCCTGCCTCTACTAAAAATACAAAAATTAGCCGGGTGTGGTGGCACTCGCCTGTAGTCCTAGCTACTAGGGAGGCTGAGGCAGGAGAATCACTTGAACCCGGGAGGCGGAGGTTGCAATGAGCTGAGATCATGCCACTGAACTCCAGCCTGGGTGACAGAGCGAGACTCCGTCTCAAAAAAAAAAACAAAAAAAAAAAACCCTCAAAAGCTCAGGCAGCAAAAGCAAAAATAGGCAAATGAGATCATAGCAAACTGCAAACCTTCTGCACAATCAAGGAAACAAACAGCAGAGTGAAGAGACCACCTACAGAATGGGAAAGAATATTTGCAAGCAAGAGATTAATCTCCAGAAAATACAAGGAGCTCAAACAATGCAGAGGTTTTGAAGGATGGTGATGAGAAGGTTCTGCTACTTACAGAAAGGAAGTTTAGGAGAAACAAAACCACAAACCTAGGTGGTGGGATGGCTTGATCTGCTTCTGTCTGTGACTCACTTAACAGTCTTAAACACATCTCCCTAAGCCTCCTTCCCCCGGTGGGATTCCTGGGTCTTGTGAGGACCTCATCGGTCCCTCTGGTAAACCCAGGCACAGAGTGGAGCAGCTCTTGTTTTCTCAGGATCTTCCCCTTCACATACAATTAACGCACCCACACGATGCTACTCTTAGAACCCTTCAAATAAATGTTTCCCGGTTCATTCACTACCAGAATCCAAGCTCAGCTTGTTCCCCAGCTTAGGACTGAGTGGTATCTTGGAGGTAGTTTCCACCATAGCCCCCTTCCTCTGCTATAAGGCTCAGTGACACACCAGAGACACCCCCTCCAGCCAGGCTCCTGGAAGGTCTGGATGAAGACTGGGATGCTGAGGCATTGCTCAGCAATGTGGCTTAACTCAAACTTCTATGTGAAACTTCCAACCACTTTCAGCAAGGGGTCACTTCCAGCGTCTTGGGGTGTGAGGGCACTTTGGTTGGTCCCTGCAATATCAGACCCTATAAAGATCCTACAAACATGTTGCAGACTCTTTGAAGATTCTGGCACTTTCAGACATGCTGTTGGGAAATGGTGACACCCATAACCTTCTAGTTCCAGGACAGGGAGCCTTAGCCCAGGGCTATGTTTTCTGAGGGTCCTCAAAGTAAACAGTTCTATGTGCCAGGAGAACCCTAAATCTCATATGGTTCTAAGGGCAGAAAGCCACACACGCACCGGCAAAAAGCAAGAGATTCAAGGAAAAGCTGAGCAAAGACAGACAGGAAAACACACACATGATGAGCCAGCTTGTAGAGCTAGAACTGAGATGGAGAGAGGCACGAGTGGGTAACAGAGTGTGCTCCCCAGAACAGGTGGAGAGAATGCCTTTTTCATGCCCTGAGGATAGGCTGGGTAAGGCTTGTGCTCGACAGTCAAGGACTATTTTTTTCCCCAGGCGTCTACAAGAGACCTTCCTTCTCAGCTCAACTGTGCCCTGCAGTAAGTAATGATGGAGAGAATGTGACTTTGCTCTGCAGCTCTGGAAGCTCATTTGACCTGTGCCTTCTAACGAGGAAGGTAAGGCCCCTGGACACTGGCTCACTGGGGTGCAGAGACAGAGTGGGGCATTCAGGCCAACTTCTCTCTGGGTCTTGGGGCTGGTGATGGGACCTCTAGATGCTGCAGCTCTCTGTCGATGGCTCTGCCTGTGAGTGATCAGCCCTAGATGACCACTGTTACTGGGGGTAGCCCATGCCTGCTGCATGCCCTGTGAAACACTAAATCATATAGCCACGTCTGAGGGACAGCCTGCTGGAGACATGGGAATCTTAGGGATTCCAGACAAAATGAAGCAATGAGAAACACAAAGAGGAAAAGAGAGGTTGAGTATGACAGTGGTGTCAGGGTGTAGGGTGGTAGACAGGGCAGCTCCACACTCTCCACTGCTTCCTGTCTGGAGGCCCACTTTGGGGTCCTACTTATCCAGGTGAGTGAAGGAAGAGGTCAGGACAAACACAGGAGGTGAAGCCAGATACAGTGTGGGGAGATAAGCAGTGGCCTCAGCCTCTAGCCCTTTTCCATCTTCCAGAAGCCCCTCCTGAGCTCTCATCACAGACAGATTTCCCATTTGGAAACCCAGATATTTATCATGCCGGGGGGGGGAGGCAATGTCTCTTGATTATGGGGACTTTCCATCACCAGGCACCTGCTAGTCCTCTCTATACCTTCCCTTCAGGAAAGGAATTGTCCCTCATGGGATTCCAGGGAAGAGACCCCAGGACCCCTATCAGTCACTAGGGAGATGACAGAGTAGAGGAAGTCAGGGGACCAACCCTCCACAGAGAATGGTCCTACTTCAGTGGGGTGAGGGAAACTCTCACTCATCCATTTGCTGTCCTGTTACCTCGGAACCCTAAGAGAACTTGTTAGTCACACACAGAATCTACCCCTGAATGTGGTGTGCAAAGTGGGGCTCTTAGCCTCCAGTGTGAAGTCCCTGGGAAGATGGAATGTCCCTGTGTGAGTGAAGGCTGTGCCACCGCCCAGCTATGTGGCCTTGGGCTAGGCAACCCCTCCCAGGTCCCCAGTTCCCCATCTGCATCGGAGACTGTGGCCAGTGCGGGAATCCACAAGGCCCTTCAGCCTCCAAAGCTCTGGGACAGAGGCCTCGTCCACAGGGAGGAAGGGGTCAGAGTGACCTGAGTCCCTACTCAGGAGCGAGTCTAATCCACTCTCCATCGGGGCCTGTGGGGAAGGGAAGATGAAGAAACGGAGCCTGCACCTGGCTATGTGGGCGCAGTAGATTAAGGGGAGGATGAGGGTTCCTGAGAGTGTGTCATGTGGCAGAGACCCTGCAGCACACTCAGGAAGGGCTCTGGAAGGATCCAAGGAAATTTTCCAAGAAGAGGGCAGAGTAAGTGACAGAGACCCTCAACCATGGATTTCACTGAGGTGCCCATGATGACATAGGGAGAACGGGGGTGTCTGGGCAGGAAGAATATCGTCAGGGTGAAATGAATGGTGATGAGCTTCGTGTCAGAGCTCCTGTGGAGGGAGGGGCCTGGCCCACATGAAAAGGTCTCTGATCCTACCCCAGCCCCCAGCCCCTGTTCTCCAGGATGACACTGTGGGAATTCCATCAGGAGGGGTGTGATAGGGCTGGTCTTCCTGGCTCGATTCACAACACTGGCTGGGGACTGGGAACCCATGGGGAGCCACAGGTGGAAAGGGAGGAGCCTCAGTGAACCCAGCAGGAACAAACATAGGGTCTGACATGATGGAACTCACTTCCTGGAGGCCAAGAAAGACACTTGCGGGACAAAAGGGAAAGAGCGGTGGCTTGCTTAGTTCCATTCACTGACAACCCACAGGAGATGTCCAGTCCTTTTTTGATTTATTATTTTATTTTATTATATTTTATTTTATTTTATTTTATTTTCACATGGAGTTTTGCTCCTATTGGCCAGGCTGGAGTGCAATGGCACGATCTTGACTCACTGCAACCTCCACCTCTCAGGTTCAAGCGATTCTCCTGCCTCAGCCTCCTGCATAGCTGGGATTACAGGCGACTGCCACCACAGCCAGGTAATGTTTGTATTTTTAGTAGAGATGAGGTTTTGCCATCTTGGCCAGGCTGGTCTCAAACTCCTGATCTCATGTGATCCGCCTGTATCAGACTGCCAAAGTGTTGGGATTACAGGCGTGAGCCACCACACCCAGCCTTTTGTATTTTTAGTAGAGATGGGGTTTCACCATGTTGGTCAGGCTGGTCTTAAACTCCTGACCTCAGGTGATCCATCCACCTCGGCCACCCAAAGTGCTGGGAGTACAGATGTTAGCCACCGTACCCAGCGAGAGTTTCAGTGCTCTATCGGATTCCCTGCCTACTCCATGTTGCATGTAATGTTCCACCTCAGGGATGTTTCTCTCCTTTCTGTCTCCTTCCTCTTCTCCTTCTCCTTTTTTCTTTCTAATTTTTATTTTTTTGAGACAGAGCCTTGCTCTGTTACCCAGGCTAGAGTACAGTGGCACGATCCCAGCTCACTGCAACCTCTGCCTCCTGGGTTCAAGAGATTCTCCTGACTCAGCCTCTCAAGTAGCTGGGATTACAGGCACCCGCCATCACACCCAGCTAGTTTTTGTATTTTTAGTAGAGACGAGGTTTCACCATGTTGGCCAGACTGGTCTTGAACTCCTGCCCTCAGGTAATCCACCCGCCTGTGGCCCCCCAAAGTGCTGGGATTACAGGCGTGAGTCACCACTCCCAGCCCTGAATGATCTTTCCTCTTTAGTGTGTTCTCACAACCACCTCTCACTGAGCTTTCTTGTTTTTTGTTTTTGTTTTTGTTTTTGTTTTTGTTTTTGGCAGAGTCTGGCTTTGTTGCCTATGCTGGAGTGCAGTGGTGCAATCTCAGCTCACTGCAACCTCCGTCTCCTGGGTTCAAGCGATTCTCCCACCTCAGCCTCCTGAGTAGCTGGGATTACAGGCACCCACCACCACACCCAGCTAATTTTTGCATTTTTAGTAGACACAGGGTTTCACCATGTTGGTCAGGCTGGTCTCGAACTCCTGACCTTGTGATCTGCCAGCCTCAGCCTCCCAAAGTGCTGGAATTACAGGCATGAGCCACCACTCCCAGCCCTGGATTATCTTTCCTCTTTAGTGTGTTCTCACAACTACCTCTCACTGCTGGGTTTTCTCTCTTTCTTTTTTTTTTTTTTTTTTTTTTTTTTTGAGACAGTCCGGCTTTGTTGCCCAGGCTGGAGTGCAGTGGCGCGATCTCGGCTCACTGCAAGCTCCACCTCCCAGGTTCAAGCGATTCTCCCACCTCAGCCTCCCTAGTAGCTGGGATTACAGGCGCATGCCAGCACACCCAGCTAGTTTTTGTATTTTTAGTAGAGACAGGGGTTTCACCATGTTGGTCAGGCTGGTCTTGAACTCCTGACCTTGTGATCTTCCTGCCTCGGCCTCCCAAAGTGCTGGGATTACAGGTGTAAGCCACTGCACCCAGCCAGCTTTCTCATTCTTATCCCTTAGTTCTCTGCCAGGGAATAAGATAGAAACCATTCCCTCAACCACATTCTAGTCATGGTCCCTATTCTCATGTTTCCACTTCTCTCTCTTTGGTAATAAATCAATTAATTGAGAAACAAGTAGCTAAATGTTCATCTTCTGCTAGTCTGCATCCCCTTATTTTCCCAGAGCCTCCCCTAATGAAACTGACTTTATTTACTGAACGCAGGAAATGGGTCTCTCCAGATCAGGATGACTTTCTGCTGGGAAATATTTGTCTTTGCATCAGTGGGGAAAAAGAAAGCCGATGTCATGAGTGGAGGCTCTGAGAAAATAAGGGCTGTGTTTTCAGTTTAGACCCAGCTAAGTTGGGAGCTGACATAGATATGATGTTGGGTCCACCCTCCACGGGCAGGTTTTCAGACAAAGGATCCCTGGCAATCAGGGGACACCTCAGGTCTGGGCTGAGATGTGTGCAGAGGGCCTGGGTCCTCCTGAGCCCCTGCACTGGGGGGGGAATAAGAGACAGGCCCAGCAAGGGGCTGTCCACTTCCTGTGGGTTCACAGCTGTGGGGACCCAGGCAGGCGGCAGCAGGCTCTGACTTAACCACATCCGTGCATCTGTCTGTCATGGAGGGCCATGTGGTCACCTGTCCCACAGCTGGAGCACGCAGAGCAGGCATCATGGTGTCCATCCTCACTGTTCTTCTGTGCCTCAGTCAGTGGTGGAGAGACGAGGGACAGGAGGGGCACTGGGCTGAGGTGGGGAGGGTCCCACAGCAGCCTTGTTCACCAGAGAGCCTCAGGGCTCCAGTGGCTACTGGTGCTCCAACAGGAAGGGAAGCAGCCACACCTCTGTGTTCCAAATCCCCCACAGGAAACTCTTCTCCATGGCTGAGTCTGGGCCAGAAAGCCCAAGCACTTGCAGGTGAGTCTCTGCTAACCTCCCATGCCTGACCTCACACTCAGCACCTGGACTCTCATCTCAGGGGCTTCTGAACTGAGGGTGAGAAAATCAAGAGGGTCTGTGACCTGAGCTGGGAATGAGGAGCGGGGGAGGTCTGTGGACCCCAGCCTGTGGTTTCTTCCAGGGACCCTCCCCAAACCCAGCCTCTGGGCTGAGCCAGGCTCTGTGATTACCTGGGAGAGCCCCATGACCCTCTGGTGCCAGGGGACCCTGGATACCCAGGGTTACTATCTCACCAAGGAAGGAAACCCCATGACCTGGTACCAACAGAGCCCACCAGAGCCCAGGAACAAGACCAACTTCTTCATCCCATCCATGAGAGAGCACCATGCAGGGAGATACCACTGTCACTATCTCAGCCCTGCAGGCTGGTCAGAGCGCAGCGAGCCCCTGGAGCTGGTGGTGACAGGTAAGAGGACACTCAGGGGTCCCAGCCCCAGGCTCTGCCTGCAGGAAGGGGGTCAGCTCTCAAGGGCATCTCCGTTCTAATAACTCAGCCCTGGGGGATGATGTGGGACGCGTGAGCCCCATTTAAGACAGTGTCTCCTTCTCTCCTAGGAGCCCACAGAAAACCCACTCTCTCAGCCCTGCCGAGCCCTGTGGTGACCTCAGGAGAGAACGTGACCATCCAGTGTAGCTCAAGGGTGGGATTTCACAGGTTCATTTTGATTGAGGAAGGAGAAAACAAGCTCTCCTGGATGCTGGACTCACAGGAACTCTCCAAGGGGCTGTCCCTTGTCCCTGGCCCTGTTCCCTGTGGGCCGTGTGGCTGCCAGTCACCGGTGGATGTTCAGATGCTATGGGCATTACACGAACTTCCCCTGGGTGTGGTCGGAACCCAGTGATACCATGGAGATCCTGGTCTTAGGTATGGATGTCTTCCTCCTTGCCCTATTTATTTTTGAGAACTTACTCTCACGGAGCCCCATGTAGGAGGGTGGAACAAGGGAAGTTTGGGACTCCTGAGCCCAGAGACACTGAGTGTGAGAGACAGTGAGACCTGCAGGGCCAGGAGGGGAGAAGGAAGGGGTGTGGGAGGAACCAGCCCTCCTAGTCCCGACTCTTCTTTCCCTCCAGGCGTGTCTAGGAAGCCCTCCCTCCTGACCCTGCAGGGCCCTGTCGTGGCCCCTGGGGAGAATCTGACCCTCCAGTGTGGCTCTGATGTCGGCTATGACAAATTCACTCTGTACAAGGAGGGGGGACATGACCTCGTCCAGGGCTCTGGCCGGCAGCCCCAGGCTGGGCTCTCCCAGGCCAACTTCACCCTGGGCCCTGTGAGGGTCTCCCACGGGGGCCAGTACAGATGCTACGGTGCACACAACCTCTCCTCCGAGTGGTCGGCCCCCAGTGACCCCCTGAGCATCCTGATCGCAGGTGAGGAGCCCAGCAGGTTCAGTCAGGGACCCAGGCTCCGCACAGGCCCTGCTGGGGGAGCCCAGGTGGTGATGGCCGGGATGAGGGGTGGGGGTCCTAAGGGACGGAGAGACAGACAGAGACAGGGGATGGGCGGGGAGGGGGAGACTCAGAGAAAACAGAGACAGAGACACTGAGGGTCCCAGGGAGAGGCCTGGGGAGGTGTCAGCTCAGAACGAGGTGGGGCAGCCCCTCACCCATCCTTCTTCTCTCCAGGACAGATCCGTGGCAGACCCTCCCTCTCGGTGCAGCCGGGCCCCACGGTGGCCTCAGGAGAGAACGTGACCCTGCTGTGTCAGTCACGGGAGCAGTTGGACACTTTCCTTCTGACCAAGGAGGGGGCAGCCCATCACCCACTGCGTCTGAGATCAGAGCACCAAGCTCAGCAGCACCAGGCTGAATTCCCCATGAGTCCTGTGACCTCAGCCCACGCGGGGACCTACAGGTGCTACAGCTCACGCAGATTCTTCCCCTACCTGCTGTCTCACCCCAGTGACCCCCTGGAGCTCGTGGTCTCAGGTGAGGCCGCTGACCCTGTCCTCTCTGAGCTCAAACCTCAGCTCAGGCCCTGCCCCCAGGAGAGCTCAGGACGCTAAGGAAAGAGGGGAGTAAAGGGGGAGGGTCGGCAGGGGAGGGCCCAGCCCATGAGAGGGTGGAAATAGTCAGGGACCTCCTAATCCTGGGCTCCCACCCCAGAGACCTCAGATGGGGCTAAAGGCCAGGGAGGGCTGAAATGAGATATGGAGAAACCTTGGAGGAATCATGCTTAGGCTGAGGGTAGAAGATGGAGGCCCCACCCACTCCCCACCTGGGCTCCCCTGGCGGCCCCAAAATACTCAGTGCATACCTGAGACGAAGGGGAGATCATGCACCTGCTCACTGCAGCAATGCAGGCAAATTATTCAACAGCAAACCTCGTGTGCAATTCCTTTCTGTCCTTTATTTTTTATGTCCACATATCTAGTTTCTCTTTCTGTTTCTGAAGATTTCAAAGCAATGCTGGCATTTATAATTTACACATTTAATTTGTTAGGTAGCGTTATGATGTAAAATAACTGTGCTCTGATTTTCTTTGGGATTAAATTAAATATGTGCATTCATGATGGAGAATAACTTCTCATTAATAATGTCTTTGTATCCAATACATTTAAAATTAAACTTTATACAGTTAGCAGATGCTTGAAGTTGTATTCATAAAAATTGTGGACATTGTGAATTTTAAGCATTGTTTTACTACTTGAATAATTTGAAAGTCTTTGATTCCTTTCTATTTTCTAAAATTAGTTACGTATGGATGAGAAAGCTATTGGTTTGGGTATGCTAATTTTAGTTCCTATTAACTTACCACAGACACACTCCCTTTCAATCCTTTCCGAAATGATCTCTTCTGATTTATTGATAATAATTACATTAACCACAAGAAAATGGAGGACAAACTTGTTTGTTTCTAAATTATATAATACTCTTCTCACTTCAAATATATATGTATGTGTTTATATATACTCACACACTATTATATATCTTATAATATATATTATGTATTATATATTTATATATACACTATTATATATCTTATATATTATGTATTATATATTTATATATACCCACACATTATTATATCTTATAATATATATTATGTATTATATATTTATATATACCCACACATTATTATATCTTATAATATATATTATGTATTATATATTTATATATGCACTATTATATATCTTATATATTATGTATTATATATTTATATTACCCACACATTATTATATCTTATAATATATATTATGTATTATATATTTATATATACACACACTATTATATATCTTATTATATATTATGTATTATATATTTATATATACTATTATATATCTTATAATATATAATGTATTATATATTTATATATACACACACTATTATATATCTTATATATTATGTATTATATATTTATATATACATACTATTATATATCTTATAATATATTATGTATTATATATTTATATATATACACTATTATATATCTTATTATATATTATATATTTATATATGCACACACTATTACATATCTTATTATATATTTATATGTATACACACACTATTATATATCTTATTATATATTATGTACTATATATTTATATATACTATTATATATCTTATAATATATAATGTATTATATATTTATATATACACACACTATTATATATCTTATATATTATGTATTATATATTTATATATACATACTATTATATATCTTATAATATATTATGTATTATATATTTATATATATACACTATTATATATCTTATTATATATTATATATTTATATATGCACACACTATTACATATCTTATTATATATTTATATGTATACACACACTATTATATATCTTATTATATATTATGTACTATATATTTATATATACTATTATATATCTTATAATATATAATGTATTATATATTTATATATACACACACTATTATATATCTTATATATTATGTATTATATATTTATATATACATACTATTATATATCTTATAATATATTATGTATTATATATTTATATATACACACTATTATATATCTTATTATATATTATATATTTATATATGCACACACTATTACATATCTTATTATATATTTATATGTATACACACACTATTATATATCTTATATATTATATATTTATATATACTCACACTATATCTTATAATACATATTATGCATACACATATGCATAATACATATTATCTATACACATATGCATAATACATATTATGTATACACATATGCATAACACATATTATGTATACACACATATTTACACCTATGCATATATGTATGTATGTATGCGAATGTACCTCTGCCACGGCAGGGAAAGGTTCTATCACACAACTACAGAGCAGTTAGGAGAAGTGTAGACACAAAGGAATGCAGCAACTGAGGGACATGTTGGCTTAAGTCTCTTCAACTCCTCACACACCTCCCCCTTTTTTGGTTGATTCTCAGGAGCAGCTGAGACCCTCAGCCCATCGCAAAACAAGACAGACTCCAAGACTGGTGTGTAAGGAGATGCTCTCGGTTATGGGGCTGGCACAGAGGGTCAGGTCCTGTGAAGGGGAGGTGGGTGCCCTGGGTGGACATCCAGGGGTCCCGGGTGATGTTGATCTGCCCTGACCTCTGAGACCTCTTGGTCCACCATCCCCAGCCTCACACCCCCAGGATTACACAGTGGAGAATCTCATCCGCGTGGCTGTGGCTGGCTTGGTCCTGGTGGTCCTCGGGATTCTGCTGCTTTAGGACTGGCACAGCTAGAGAAGTCCCCAAGATGCAGCAAGGAGGTAAATACATGAGAGAACAATGCACCCTTCAGAGTGCCAGAGCCTTGGCAATGAATCTGATAGTCCTAGGAGGTTCTGGAAGAAAGTCTGGACCATCATTCGGGAAACCGTCTACTGAGAAAGTCGAGAAGGGGAGGCTTGGGTCAGGTTCAGGAAGATGTCTGGGTGCCTGTAGAGAACGCTTCCTCCATTAAACTTCCATTAAATGGCAGTGCTTTCAGTCCTGCTGTTGTGGATCCTCCGTGTCTGCCCCTCCCTTCCTTTCGCTCTCTGTGATGTGAAGGCACGTCCCCCATGGTGGGTTTGCATCCACACCCCTGCGATCACGTGCTCTGGTCCACTGTCATGTAATACATTTGTCTTTGTTTCCAACTACCGCATTCTCTAAAGTGAACTATTGATTCTCCATCTTTTCAGTTCTGAGCATAGATCTGGATTAAATAACTGGAATAGGTGGGCAGATTTGTATTTGGGACTTTGAAACATGAGTCTGAGGCCAGGCACAGTGGCTCACACCTGTAATCCCAGCACTTTGGGAGGCTGAGGTGGGCGGATCACTTGAGGTCAGAAGTTCGAGACCAACCTGGCCAACATGGTGAAACCCTGTCTCTACTAAAAGATACAAAAATTAGCTGGGTGTGGCAGTGAGCACCTGTAATCCCAGCTGCTCAGGAAGCTGAGGCGGGAGAATAGCTTGAACCCGGGAGGCGGAGGTTGCAGTGAGCCAAGATCTTGCCACTGCACTCCAGCCTGGGCAACAGAGCAAGACTCCATCTCCAAAAAAAAAAAAAAAAAGGGAAATATGAGTCTGAAATGATGCCCTAGCACCCTCTCTGGACCCTGAATTCCCTTCACTCTTCATCGGATGATACCTGTGTACTTTGTCCAGAAATATCATCTCTCAGAATGAGCACACTAACGCTCGAAGGCTCAGCCTCATGGTATTCTGTTAAACTGGCTCTCTGAAAAAATTATTTTCTTAAGAAAACTCTGAACATATAAAGCCCCAGATTTATGGTATTTGCTGATTAGTGTGGTATAAATACGTCCTTTATGGCCAACTTCAGGGTGCCCATATGACGCCATTGAATGCACAGTTGGGAAGTAGTCAAAAGAATTGTCGTTCACACGAGTATGAACCAGTTGTAAAGTTTATTTAAAGGTTATAATAATTTCTGCTTCATTCTTATGGTGTAGTTTCAGTAAAATTGTAATGTCAAAAATCATAGCACAATGGAGGGAAAAGAAAAAAATAGGCCGGGTGTGGTGGCTCATGCCTGTAATCCCAACACTTTGGGAGGCCGAGGCAGGAGGATCACCTGAGGTCAGGAGTTCGAGACCAGCCTGGCCAACATGGTGAAACGCTGTCTCTACTAAAAATACAAAAATTAGCCAGACATGGTGGCGCCTGCCTGTAATCCCAGCTACTTGGGAGGCCAAGGCACGAGAATCGCATGAACCCAGGAGGCGGAGGTTGCAGTGAGCCGAGATCACTACAGCCTGGGTGATAGAGCAAGACTCAGTCTCAAGAAAAGAAAAAAGTAGCAAAATCATTTTTTGGAAAGAATATTGAACATGTAGAATTTTAGTACATTAATAGTAAGAGTACAAATTGCTTTAATCAATTAAGGAAGTGTATTGGAATTATCTAGTTAAAAAGAGGAGGCACATGGCTGTGACCCTTCTTAATTATGTACTTAATTATGTACCCTAGAGATAAATGTCTACTTATGTGTCATGATACACTCACAACTGTTATAGGAATGCTGTTCCTATTAGCCAAAGCTATAAAATACCAAAGTCCACCTACGAAAAAAATAAACATAGTGTGGTAAATAGACTCAGTGGAATATTACAAGGTAGTAAAATGCATAAATGAAAATAACAAACAGCACCATACTTCAATTTTCAAGCATAAAGTCAAGTAAATGAAGTATTATTTGAAAATGTGTGCATGGTTATTTCATTACATAAAGGTCAAAAGGAGGGTACATTTATTATTTAGGAAAACACACCTAAGATATCTTTGTAAAATCTGTAAAATCAATAGTACTGTTTCCCCTCTTTCATTCCTTATCTTGAAAATGCTTGTCTCTTTTTCTGCCATGGCTTTCTACCTTGCTTGATATATTACAATTTTGTAACCTGCTTATTTCATCATATGTCATAAGTTCACATGTATATCCCATGAATTATTGAGGGTCTTATTCATTTCAAGTGGCATTTAGGTTTTTAAAAATATCTTTTGGCGACCAGGTGCAGTGGCTCATGCCTGTAATCCCAGCACTTTGGGAAGCCAAGGCAGGTGGATCACGAGTTCAAGAGACAGAGATCATCCTGGCGAACATGGTGAAACCCCGTCTCTACTAAAAATACAAAAAAAAAAAAAAAAATAGCTGGGCATGGTAGAGGGTGCCTGTAGTCCCAGCTTCTCAGGAGGCTGAGGCGGGAGAATGGCATGAACCCGAGAGACGGAGGTTGCAGTGAGCCGAGATCGTGCCACTGCACTCCAGCCTGGCAACAGAGTGAGACTCTGTCTCAAAAAAAAAAAAAAAAGAAAGAAAGAAAGGAAGAAAAAAAAATCTTCTGGCATTAACTATTAAGAAATTGCACTATAAAAAGAGAATATAATGCATAAGACGGCAATTTGAAAAGATTCAGATATAATTTTTTCTTATCTAGTAAATACTTAGTAATTTGTCTAATGCATGCCTTAAATACATACCACTTTATGCAGAGGTTGCCATGAGCCGAGATCGCGCCGTTGCACTCTAGCCTGGGTGGCAGAGCAAGACTCCATCTCAAAAAAAAAAAAGAAAATCTCACAGAAGGAGACCCAGAGCTTCCAGCCTCGCCCAGAGTCTTGGCTCACTCCCTGTGTGTGTGGACCCTAGGGAGCCTCTTCTGTTCCCCACAGAGGTGGAAACTTCCTCCTTAATAACCCCTTGATGGTCCCAGGCACTGGTGACCACTGAGCTTTGCTCTCTCTTTTTTCTTATGGTTCCCTGTCTACTTCCAGGGCTATCACTTTACTTTTTGTGCATTAGACCATGAATAATGTTTTAGAAACATTCTATCAAATTTCTCAGTGCTAGGAACAACTGAGGTTTTTGATTGGGTGCCTCAAATGTCTACCCTTACTGTGGAGTCCGACAACAGGATTCTAACAAGTCCCAACCCCTTCATGCCTTAACCTGGTCTGGAAATAAATTATGTTTAAGCCATCCCATACCCCAGCCACATCAAGCCCCACAACCACTCTGAGAAGTGAGATTTATAGCAAAATGCTCCAAACAAGGTAACTAAGGTTCAGACAAGGGATGTTAATGTGTCCATTTACATAAACAAAAAATGGTAGATGATCAGCTTTCCCTTTGAAATCAGAGTACTAATCTGACTCATTGTTCCCTGAATTTTAGAGGCAGGACCTCAGGAGGAGCTAAGAATCCTACCCCAGGAAAATTACCAATATCAGAAAGGAAACAATGACATCAGTACAGATCCTACAGAATTCAAAAGATTCTAAGTGGACATTATGAAGACATTATTCAGCTTAGATGAAGTGGTCACATATCACAAGAAAACAAACTGTCTAAAACAATCTCTGAAATACCTAGACATTCCCTGAATCATTGAGTTATTAAATAAAATACATTTTAAAATTAAACTCTTTTCAGGAAATAAACTTCAATGTCCCCTAGTGCACTCTCCAAAACATGTAGATGGGAATAAATACTGTTCTGAAAGACATTTCCCTGGAATTACAACCATTCAATATATTTTAAAAGGCAATCATAAAAATATAAAAAGGATATATCAGGAGAAGAAATGTAAATGGCCTAAATTCCCCACATAAAAGGCATAGAGTGGCAACGTGGATAAAAAGCCAAGAGCCAACTGCCTGCTGTCTTCAAGAGACCCATCTCACATGTAATGACACCCACAGGCTCAAAGTAAAAGGATGAAGAAATATTTACTAGGCAACCAGGAAACAAAAAAAAGGAAGGCATTCCTATTCTTATATCACATGAAACACACTTTAAATCAACAGCAATCAGGAAGGACAAAGAAGGGCATTACAAAATGATAAAGGGTTCAATTTGACAGAAGACTTAACTATTCTAAATATATATGCACCCAAATTTGGAGCACCCCGATTCATAAAACAAGTTATTCTTCACCTATGAAAAGAGTTAGACAGCCACACAATAATAGTAAGGGACTTCAGTATCCCACTAACAACGTCAGATGAATCACTAAAACAGAAAACTAACAAAGAAATTCTGGTCTTAAAGACAACACTTGACCAATTGGACCTCATAGACATCTACAGAGTACTCCACCCAACAACTGCAGAATATAGATTCTTCTTATCTGCACACACAAAAAACATATCATATTCTAAGACTGGCCACAAAGCAAGTCTCAATAAATTCAAAGAATCAAAATCATAACAAGGCACACAATAAAAATAGAAAAAAATACCAAGATGATCTCTCAAAACTACAGAAAAACATGGAAATTTAACAACTTGTTTCTGAATGAATATTAAGAGCCATCTATGACAAATCCACAGCCAACATCATATTGAATGGTCAAAAGCTGGAACTGTACCCCTTGAGAACTCTTGGGTGAACAATGAAATTAAAGCAGAAATCACAAAACATTATTTAAAATTAATAAAAATAGAAACAAACTTACCAAAACCTTTGGGATGCAGTTAAAGCAGTGATAAGAGGAAAATTTATAGCAATACATGCCTCATCAGAAGTTTAGAAAGATCTCAAATTAGTGACTTAACACTGCATCTAGAGGAACTATTAAAAAAAAGGAACAGTCCAAACCCAAGGCCAGCAAAAGATGAGAAATAACTAAAGTCAGAGAGAACTGAATAAATTGAGACCAAAAAGTCCATACAAGAGATAAATAAAACCAAGAGTTTTTCTTTGAAAAAAAATAAACAAAATTCATAGACTGTTAGCTAGATTAACAAAGAAAAAGAGAAAAGATCCAAATAAACACAAATAGAACTGACAAAACAATGTTACGAACAATCCCACAGAAATAGAAAAGATCGTCAAAGACTATTATGAACACCTCTATACAAACAAGCTAGAAAACCTAGAAGAAATGGATAAATTCCTGGTAACACAAAATTTATCATATTTCAACCAGGAAGAAAGTGAAAACCTGAACAGACCAATAACAAGTTCAGAAATTTAATCAGTAATAAAAACCCTACTAACTAAAAATAGCCCAGGACCAGATGGATTCACAGCCAAAATCCAACAGCCATACAAAGAAGAACTGATACCGATCTTACTGAAACTTTTGGAAAAAATCAAGGAGTGGGGGCTTCTTCCTAACTCATTCTATGAAGCCATCATCACCATGATACCAACATCTGTCAGAGACATAATGAAAAAAAGAAAACTACAACTAAATATCCTTAATGAACATAGACATAAAATCCTCAACAAAATGCTAGCAAATTGAATCTGTCAGTGCATCAAAAGTTAATTCACATGATCAAGTAAGCTTTATTTTTGGGATGCAAGGTTGGTTCAACCTACAAAGTCAACGAATGTGATTCACCTCATAAACATAATTAAAAACAAAAACTATATGATCATCTCAATAGATGCAGAAAAAGCTTTCTGTAAAATCCAACATCCCTTCATGATAAAAACTGTCAATAGGCATCAAAGGAACATACCTCAAAATATTAAGAGCCATCTATGACAAACCCACAGCCAACATCATATTGATGGGCAAAAGCTGGAACCATACCCCTTGAGAACCGAAACAAGACCAGGATGACCACTCCCGCCATTTTAATTCAACATGGTACTGGAAGTCCTAGCCAAAGCAATCAGGCAAGAGAAGGAAATAAAAGGCATTAAAATTGGAAAAGAAGTAGTGATACTGTCTCTCTTTGCTGATGAAATAATTTTATACATAGAAAACCCTAAAGACTCTGTCAGAAGGCTCCTGAAACTGATAAACAAATTCAATAAAGTTTCGGGATTAAAAAAATGTACACAAATTAGTAACATTTCTATGCACCACTAACATTCTAGCTGAGAACTAAATCAAGAACACAATTCCATTTACACTAGCCACAAAGAAAATAAAATACCTAGGAATCCATCTAACCAAGAAGGTGAAAATTCTCTACAAGGAGAACTACAAAACACTTCTGAAAGAAATAAGAAATGATACAAACAAATGGAAGAATATTCCATGCTCATGAATTAGGAGAACAAATAGTTAAAATCGCCATACTTCCAAAAACAAATTGCAGACTCAATGCTATCCATTTCAAAATGCAATGTCATTTTTCACGAAATTATAAAAATTTATTCTAAAATGTATTTGGCACCAAAAAAAGAGCCTGAATACACATAGGAATCCTAAGCACAAAGAACAAAGCCCAGGCATCACATTACCCAACTTCAAACTATACTACAATGCTATAGTAACCCAAACAGCATGATACTACTACAAAAACAGACACATAGACCAATGAGACAGAATAGAGAACCCAGAAATGAGGCTACATACCTACAATCATCTTTGAAAAAATTGACAAAAACAAGCAATGTGGAAAGTACCCTTTCTTCAATAAATAGTTCTGGGATAACTGACTACTCATATGCAAAATAATAGAACTGGACCCCTAACTCTCACTATATACAAAAATTAACCCAAGATAGTTTAAAGATTTAAATGTAAAACCTCAAAATATTAAAATTCTAGAAGAAAACCTAGGAAATATCCTTCTCAAGATAGACTTTGGCAAAGAATTTATGGCTAACTCCCCAAAACCAATTGTGACAAAGACAGAAATTGGGACCTAACTCAACTGAAGAGCTTCTGCACAGCAAACGAAAGTATCAACAGAGTAAACAGATAACCTACAGACTGGGAGAAAATATTTGCAAACTATGCATCTGACAAAGTTCTAATATCCAGAATCTATAAGGAATGTAAACAAATCAACAAGCAGAAAACCAAAAAACCTCAATTAAGTATGACATGAACAGACACTTCTCAAAAGAAGATGTACACATGGCCAAAAAACATATGAACAAATGCTTATTATCAGTAATCATCAGAGAAATGCAAATTAAAACCACAGTGAGATACCATCTCACAACAATCAGAGAAGCAGAAGCAATTACTAAAAAGTTTTTTGTTTTTTTTAATAACAGATGCTGACAAGATTGTGGAGAAAAGGGAACACTTATACACTCTTGGTGGGAATGTTAACTAGTTCAGCCAATGTGATAAGCAGTTTGGAGACTTCTCAAATAACTTAAAATAGAACTACTATTCAATCAAGCAATCCCACTACTGGGTATATACCAAAAGGAAGGTAATTAACTATGTCAAAAAGACACATGCACTAGTATATTCATTGCTGTGCAATTCAGAATAGCAAAGATTTGCAGTCAACCTAAGTGCTCACCAACAGTGGATTAGTTAAAGAAAATGTGCTACATATACACATGGAACATTACATGGCCATAAAAAATAATGAAATCATGTCCTTTGCAGCAACATGAATGTAGCAGGAGGTCAATCTCCTAAGTGAACTAACCCAGGAACAGAAAACCAAATACCACATGTTATCACTTATAACTGAGAACCAAACATTGAATACACATGAACATAAAGATGGAAACAACAGATACCGAGGACTACAGATGGGGGGAGGAGTAGGGAGGTATAGGCTGAAGAAACACCTGTTGGATTCTATGCTCATTGCCTGGGTGATGGCATTGTTGGAACCACAAACCTCAGAGTCACACAATATGCCTATGTAACAAACCTGCATGCATACCTTTAATCTACAGTAAAGGTTGAAGTTATTTAAAAATAGGAAGAAGAATTACCCTATACCTAAAGCTAAGATTTTTCCCTTTGAATATTCGTTTCTTCATCACTGTAGATAAGCAGGGAAAGAAAAATTATTATACTATACTAGCCTTTTATGTGACCATGAGGATTTGGGGTAGGTAGGTGGACAGCTTAGATAATTCACCAGGATATTGATACAGGCTCCATGGCTGGAAATAACCAAGGATGAGTGCTGTGTTTTGAGTGGTCTCCCCCAGAAACGTTTGTTGAAATCCTAACCCCTGGTATGTATGAATGTGAATTCATATTATATAAAAAGGAATAAATAGCCTGAGCACAGTGGCTCACACCTGTAATCCCAGCACTTTGGGAGGCCAAAGCAGGTGGATCATTTGAGGTCAGGAGTTCTGGCCAATATGGCAAAACTTCATCTCTACAAAAAAAAAATACAAAAAAAAAAATTGGCTGGGTATGGTGGCGCATGCCTGTAGTCCCAGCTACTCAGGAGGCTGAGGCAGGAATTGCTGAAACCTGGAAGGCAGAGGTTGCAGTGAGCCAAGATCATGCCACTGCACTCCAGCCTGGGTGAGACGGCAAGATATTCTGTCAAAAATAAATAAATAAAAAACAGAAGAAGAAATACAAGAATGACAGCAAACTTTGTATTCAAAACTATGAAAGTAAGAAATAGGTGGACCAACATTTTTAAAGTGCTACAAGAAAATATTTCAAACTAGAATCTTTCAACCTGAAAAGGAAAACATTTTCCTGCAATAAAGGTGCCATTAAAAATGTCTCACAATTTATTACATGAAGCATTGTTCTACAATAAATGTTAAGCTCTTGAAGCAAAGATTAATGATACCATTTAGTAACTTGAAATTCAAAAAAGTGGAAGTATCCCAAGAGGCAAATACGTGTGCAATTATTAAATGTTTCATATCAACACCCAACCTTATGCTGTCTACATAAGCTGCACTTCAAATACTAATCCACAAGATGTAAATATTGAAAGAATGACATTACATTGTCATGATAATGCCCAGTGCAAAATATGCTTCTAGTCAGTTGTATACATAGAATAGGTAAATGTTTGTAATAAAAAGTATTCCTCAATAGAAGTTTCTTAACTCAAAGAATGAAATATTTCACCATGCACATACAAAGAAGAGATATATGGAGATATGAAGAGGAGTACTTCATAATGACAAAGAGGCAAATTCATAAATAAGACATAATAATCCTAAATGCCTACACACCTAAAGCTGGAACCTCAAAACACATTAAATTAAAGGCATAATTCAAAACATAATCAATCACATCCAAATTGCAGCTAGAGATAGCAACATTCACCTCACTTCCAGAACAAGTACACAGAAAATTATTAAGCATATGAAAGACTTGAAAAACATTTGTGTAGGCGGCGGGTGCATAAGGTTGGGTGTTGATATGAAACATTTAATAATTTCAATAATCCTAGCACTTTGGGAGGCCAAAATGGGAGGATCACTTGAGGCCAGGAGTTTGAGACCAGCCTGGGCACCATAGTGAGACCCCGTCTCTATTTTTTTTAAATAAAGAAAAACATTTGAATGATTTTTTTCTTAACTGACATTTAGAAAACATCCACCTCAAATCTTCCTAATCCACAAACTTGTCTAGCACCCCTGGAACATTCACCAAAATAAATTTTTAAATGCTGAATCATAGGTAATATGATAGATGAAACAGTTGAATTAAATTATAAATGTACAACAAGGAAATGCTGGGGAAATTATCAAATATTTTAAAATTAATAAACACACATAGCAATAAACAATGAGTGGAAGAAAAACATTTCAAAGAAAGGTGGAAAATATTTTGTATCAATTAAAAATGAAAACACATCTCGGCAAATGACTGGGGATACAGATAGAACAGTGTTAAAGGAAAATAAGCCTCAAATGTCTGTGTTAGAAAAGAAGGAAGAGCTGAGTAAATAGGTAACTTTCGCTTGCAGAAATACTACACATCAGCAAATTAATTCCAAAGTAACGTCGAGGAAAAACATAAAATGGCAAGCAAATATATACGTGCATATGTACGTATATTCATAAATGACAAACAGGACAGAAAAATCAGTGACATCAATTTTGTTCCTTAGAAGAAACAGGAAAATTGACCCCAAAAAACTTTCCAGGCCACATTTGGTCATGATGGAAATATTTTGGCACTTCCTGGTTAAGCTCAACACCAACTTGCACCCAAAACCAATAATTTCATTCCTAGGTAAATATGTCTAATTAATTCAGCATATGTATGCAAGGGATCACACAGAAACACGATTATCAAGGCCCGAGTTATAAAAGAGAAAATCCGGAAACAACACAAATGTCCATGATAAAAAGAGTGGATAATTACATGTTGATAAAGTTATGTATGGACTATTAAACTGCAATCCAAAAGAATAAAATAGAACTATAAAATTCAATATGTATATGGTGTCATAGAAACACAAATGTGAGAAAAAGAAAGAAAAATACAAAATTTATATTTTTTAAAATTTGAAACAACTATATATGTGAGTGCTTAGGGTGTGTGTGTGTGTGTGTGTGTATAACCATATGTATATAAACGCACACATACGCACACATATAGAATGTCCCGGCCAGGCATGGTGGCTCACACCTGTAATCTCAGCACTTTGGGAGGCTGAAGTAGACAGATCACTTGAGGTTAGGAGTTCAAGACCAGCCTGGCCAACATGGAGAAACCTCCTCTCTACTAAAAGTACAAAAATTAGGTGGGCGTGATGGTGGGTGCCTGTAAATCCAGCTACTTAGGAGGCTGAGGCACGAGAATTGCGTGAACCTGGGAGGTGGAGGCTGCAATGAGCCGAGGTCTCACCACTGCATTCCAAACTGGGTGACGAAGTGAGATTGCGTCTCAAAAAAAAAAAAAGTTCTAAAAGTTGTGACTTGGGTGTGGCAGATTGTGACATACTGCCAGCTGCTAGAAATGCTGGGGCAGGAGGATTGCTTGAACTCTGAAGTCAAAGAACAGCCTGGGGAAAATAGCACATGAAGAAGAGTTTGAATCTCAGATAAAAACAACAAAAATACATCAAAAGTCTTTAATGTAAGCCAAGCATTCAGTCATCTCCTGTATGAGAGATTGGATCTGAGACGTGTTTTGAGTTGGTTATAGTGAAGGATGCAAGGTGTCAATTCTAGTTGGAACAATTTCCAGGAAGCCATGTTCCGCTCTTGACCAAACAGCCACTGGGCCTCATGCAAGGTAGAAATAGCCTGCATACGTCATCCTCCCATGATGTGGTCAGCATGTAAACTGCATGAGCCCCTCACAACATCCTGTGTGCTGCTGAACTGAGCTGGGGCGCAGCCGCCTGTCTGCACCGGCAGCACCATGTCGCTCATGGTCGTCAGCATGGCGTGTGTTGGTGAGTCCTGGAAGGGAATCGAGGGAGGGAGCGCTGGGGTGGAGATCTGGGCCTGGAGTGGAGATCTGGGCCTGGAGTGGAGATATGGGCCTGGAGTGGAGATATAGGCCTGGAGTGGAGATATGGGCCTGGGGTGGAGATATGGGCCTGGAGTGGAGATATGGGCCTGGAACTGTAGATATGGGCCTGAAGTAGAGATATGGGCCTGGAGTAGAGATATGGGCCTGGAACTGTAGATATGGGCCTGGAGTGGAGATATTGGCTTGGAGTGCAGATATGGACCTGGAATTGAGATACGGGCCTGGAGGTGGAGATATGGGCCTAGAGTGGAGATATGGGCCTGGAGGTGGAGATATGGGCCTGGAACTGTAGATATGGGCCTGGAGTAGAGATACGGGCCTGGAGTGGAGATGTTGGCTTGGAGTGCAGATATGGGCCTGGAATGGAGACACGGGCCTGGAGGTGGAGATACAGGCCTGGAGGTGGAGATATGGGCCTGGAGTGTAGATATGGGCCTGGAGTAGAGATATAGGACGGAGGTGGAGATATAGGCCTGGAGTGGAGATATGGGCCTGGAGTAGAGATATAGGACGGAGGTGGAGATATAGGCCTGGAGTGGAGATATGGGCCTAGAGGTGGAGATATGGGCCTGGAGTGGAGATATGGGCCTGGAGGTGATGTACAGATGGATCATCCATCATGATCTTTCTTTCCAGGGTTCTTCTTGCTGGAGGGGCCCTGGCCACATGTGGGTGAGTCCTTCCCCCAAACCTTAGGTTGTCATCTCCCCACATAAGATGATGCTCCTGAAACGGGAGGCAGGCGACACAGGGGGTTGACTGATGGGCTGACCATGGGAAGCCATGTGGGAATCTCTCATGAACTAGGAAAAGGAAGCCAGGGGAAGCTTCGCCACAGTTCTGTCCTAGCCCTCCCCGGCCTTTCTTTCCCTTGGCTGAGTCTGTGGGGACCCAGGGGGAGACTGAAGTGCTCAAAGGAGTGGTGTGCAGGGAGGAAGTGGTGTCACCGGCAGAGGAAGGGAGAGAAGCAGTGCAAGGAACAACAGGCCTCTGAGGACAAGAGCATAACTCACACCCTCCAGCGTTTCCATGACGGTAGGGGCTGCAATGTGGCTGCTGTCATTCTACCTAAGAGGTGGGGGAACCACAGTCATGACCCTGACATTCCAGATCTTCTAATAGGGGCTCAGTTGTTTATTATGGTTCATGCATTAGCTGATCATGCCCTCCATCCTGTGTCTACCTTGTGTTCTTTTATGTAAGTAATTTTGCAGTGTTAAAATCTAGTAAGAGTCGCTTCTTCAGCACCTGCTCAAAGTTCTCAGCTGACACTTGCTGTAGGGAGACGCCATGTCTATGCGGGATGGGTCCTTCCTGTAGCCCTGGGCACCCAGGTGTGGTAGGAGCCTTAGAAACGTGGAAATGGGAGAATCTTCTGAGCACAGGGAGGGAGGGGCGGCTCCACATCCTCCTCTCTAAGGTGGTGCCTCCTTCTCCCCCAGGTGGTCAGGACAAGCCCTTCCTCTCTGCCTGGCCCGGCACTGTGGTGTCTGAAGGACAACATGTGACTCTTCAGTGTCGCTCTCGTCTTGGGTTTAATGAATTCAGTCTGTCCAAAGAAGACGGGATGCCTGTCCCTGAGCTCTACAACAGAATATTCCGGAACAGCTTTCTCATGGGCCCTGTGACCCCAGCACATGCAGGGACCTACAGATGTTGCAGTTCACACCCACACTCCCCCACTGGGTGGTCGGCACCCAGCAACCCTGTGGTGATCATGGTCACAGGTCAGAGGCTTTCTGTCTGGGCTTCTCACTGTCCCACCTCCTGAATCCCAGAGCTTCTGGTGGGGGCGTCCATCAGGGTCCAATCATCCAGGCCCCGACTGTATTTGGGGTAAAGGGGGATTCAGTACAGAGAAATAGTTGCTGTGGTGGGAAGAATAATTGTCCCCAGTGATGGCTACATGGTAATCCATGAACCCTGTGACTATTTATGTTATAGGGCAGGGGACTGAAGAGGAAGATGGAGCTCAGGTTGTTGATGAGTTGACCTTGCGATGGGGAGACAGCCTGGACTGTCCTGCTGTGCTCAGAGTAATCACAAGGGTCCTCATGAGAGGAGGAGGAAGAGGAAAGTGGGGTTAGAGCAACGTCGTGGGAGGGAGACTCCATCAGCCACAGCGGGCTTTGAAGATGGGGGAAGGCCATGAGCCACAAAGGCAGGTGGCCTCTAAGGGCTGGAGAAGTCAAGGGAACTGATTCTTCCCTGAGTCTCCAGAGGAAACACAGCCCTGCAGATGCCTTGATTTTAGCCCAGAGAGAACTGGGTCCGATTTCTGTTCTCCAGAAGTGGAAGAGGTCATTGTATTCTCTCCTGCCCCATGTTTGTGACAATTTTCTCCAGCAGCAACAGGAAACCAACACAGGAACCCAGGTGAAGCACAAGTTAAGAAACCAAACAAGGAGAAGGTTGGCTACACTGATTTTAGCATGGGTGGGATACTGATGCTACCACCAGGCTCGATCCACATAGGGAGGGGTTGATGCTCCTGGAACCAGCACCAGGGGCCACCCTATGGAAGCTGGGGCCATGGAGAAGGCACAGACATGACAGGAGAGGCTCCCAATCCCCATCAGGAACAGGGACACTGATGCCTGCCTTACTGATGAGTTCGTACCTCCTGCCAGCCTTTCCAATCTGTCCAAAAGAGATTGATTCAGGCTGCTAAGAGCCTGGACATGCAGCCTGTCGTGGTTCCTCTTCCACCCCCACATAAACACCAGGAAAGAGATTAGTGGGAAACAGATACAACAGCATAAGAGGTGACACTGAGCACAGTGGGAAGGGAATCAGGGCTACTAGAGACAGAGAGACAGGGAAGAGGGAGGGAGACAGATGGAGGGACCTGCAACAGGGGTTATGGGCACAAAAGAACACGGAGACACAGAGAGGAAGGAGAGAGATAGACACCATGGAGGGGAAGCCTCACTTATTTCAGGTCCCATGAATGGGATGAGAAAGGGAGACGCCTTCTGAACTCACAACCTCTCTTCTTAGGAGTCCACAGAAAACCTTCCCTCCTGGCCCACCCAGGTCCCCTGGTGAAATCGGGAGAGACGGTCATCCTGCAATGTTGGTCAGATGTCAGGTTTGAGCGCTTCCTTCTGCACAGAGAGGGGATCACTGAGGACCCCTTGCGCCTCATTGGACAGCTCCACGATGCGGGTTCCCAGGTCAACTATTCCATGGGTCCCATGACACCTGCCCTTGCAGGGACCTACAGATGCTTTGGTTCTGTCACTCACTTACCCTATGAGTTGTCGGCTCCCAGTGACCCTCTGGACATCGTGGTCGTAGGTGAGAGAATACAGACCTGCCTCTCACCCTTGCTGGGAGATGGAGTGAATGATCTAGGACTGGAAGCCCCAGGTGGTCATGAGGAAGATGAGTGTGGGGTTCCTATGGAGAGAAAGTGACTTGGTGAGGTCTGTACCAACAAAGGCAGAGAAACAGGAGACACAAGTACAGACCTCATGTCATAACATAGAAGCCAGACACAGGGGCCATACAAGGTGTTAGAAAAAGAGATAAAGAGGTAAAGAAGACACAGAGAGACAGATATATCCCAGAGAGAGGTGTCCTTCTATGCTGACTTTGTTCAGAGACCAGGCACAGGTTAGAAGGTTCCATTCTGTTTTACCTCTACAAAGTGTTCTCTCCCAGGAGAACCCAAAGAGACACATCTATCTGGCCTGAGTTGGGCCGTGTGGCCCCAGGCTGGTGGCACCTACAGATGCTGTGTTTATTCTTAAACCTCTGCCTTCCGTGCAGTGGAGCTGTCGTCGTCGCAGGACACCATGGCCCCAGGTGAGGGAGCAGAACACCAACCCCTGTATGTTGTGAGTTCCTGGAGTCCCCATACTGGATTCTGAGGCTCATATTCAAATAGCACCACATGTTATAGGATTACTGAGAACAAAAGCCCACAGAGAGACACGGAGTGAAATCAGGGAAATCAAAAAGCAAAGACATGAACACACACACAGAATGAGCCAGAAGAAGGGAATTGAGAGACTCACAGACACATAAAGAGATAGAAAAAGAGGGCAGAGAAGTGGAGCGTATGATGGAAGGAAGCAGAGAAAAGCCCTAAAATCAGAGCCCTGAGGGAGGGGCACAAAGACAGGGAAAGATAAAGATGTGGGGATGGATTGCAGAGACTCCAAAAGGGAACTAGAGAGACTGAGAGGCAGAGAAAGACAAGGAGATGGAGAGAGACAGATGATAGATGGATAGATAGATATAGATAGATGAAAGATAAAAGGTAGATGATAGATAATAGAGAGACAGGTGATAGACAAATAGATGATGAATGACTGATAGATGATATAGATAGACAAGTAGAAAGACAGACAGATGATATATAAATAGATATAGAGAGATAGAAAGATAAACACATGATGATAGATGGATAGATGCATACATACATACATTGATTGATAGATGATAGATAACAGAGAGATAGGTCATAGATACACAGATGATGATAGATGATAGATACATACATAGATAAATGATAGATCGATCAATAGATAGTAGATAGAAATATGCAGAAAGTTATGAGCAAGACAGAAAGTGAGAGACTCAGAATTAAAGAAAGAGGAAGATCAAGTCAACCAGTCCAAGGAGGGTCAGAGAGAATAAAATGGTACAAAAAAAGAAAACATAGCTAGGGATGGAGAAGTGAGGTCAGAGACCTAGAGAGACAGAGAAGGTGGAAGGAGGAAATAGACATGAAGAGAGATGGGGGTGGAGGGTGAGAGAGAGAAAGAGAGCATTAAGTCATAGAGCAGGGGAGTGAGTTCTCAGCTCAGGTGTGAGGAGAGCTGTGACAACGAAGAACCTCCCTGAGGAAACCACCTCTTCTCCTTCCAGGTCTATATGGGAAACCTTCTCTCTCAGCCCAGCCGGGCCCCACGGTTCAGGCAGGAGAGAATGTGACCTTGTCCTGCAGCTCCCGGAGCTTGTTTGACATTTACCATCTATCCAGGGAGGCAGAGGCCGGTGAACTTAGGCTCACTGCGGTGCTGAGGGTCAATGGAACATTCCAGGCCAACTTCCCTCTGGGCCCTGTGACCCACGGAGGGAACTACAGATGCTTCGGCTCTTTCCGTGCCCTGCCCCACGCGTGGTCAGACCCGAGTGACCCACTGCCCGTTTCTGTCACAGGTGAGAAAACACCATGCCTGTCCCATGTCTTGTGATCCTAGAGCCATAGCTGAGGAGCTTCCTGCTGATGATGGAGAGAAGCATGGACAGATGCCGAGACAGAACACACAGCATGGGTGTAAGGGCGGGGTCAGGGGGCAGGATGGCAGACAGGGCACCTCCAAACCCTCCTGTATGGCCTGCAAGGAGGCCCTTGATCAGGGTTCCAGGCACCCAGGCAGATGGAGAAAGAGGTCAGAACAGACCCAGAGGAGGGAGACTGGGCTCTGCCTGGGGAGATCAGAGGTTCTCTCAGCCCCTCAACCTTACCCACTTCCCAGAAGCCCATCCTGGCCTGTCACCCACAGAGAGATGTCATCACCAGCAACGCCTACACCCTTTTCTTTTTGTTTGAAGAAATATTTATTGAGGTGAAATATACCTATGTAATTTACCACCTTTACCATTTTTAAGTGTGAAGTCTACTGTTCATAAATACATTTATAGGCTGGGCACGGTGGCTCACTGTTGTAATCCCAACACTTTGAGAGGCCAAGGCAGGTGGATCATTTGAGATCAGGGGCTCAAGACCACCCTGGCCAACATGGGGAAAATCCATCTGTACTAAAAATACAAAATAATAATAATAATGATAATAATTAGCCGAGCATGGTGGCACATGCCTGTAGTCCCAGCTACTTGGGAGGGTTGGGCAGGAGTTGCACTTAATTGCAGGAGGCGGAGGTTGCAGTGAGCTGAGATCATGCCACTGCACTGCAGCCTGGGCAACAGAGAGAGACACTCTCTCAAAATTAATTAATTAATTAATTAGTATTCTTTTTTTTTTACCCTCCACCCTTCCCTTCCTGGCCTCTGGTAGCCACCATTCTACTCTCTACCTTTGTGAGATCCACCTTTTAGCTCCTGCATATGAGTGAGAAATGGAAATACTTGTAATGACCTCCAGTTCCATTCATGTGGCTGTAAATGACAGGATGTTACTCTTTCTATGGATGAGTTGTCCCTATTGTGTGTGTGTACCACATTCTCTCCATCCATTCACCCACTGATGGGCAGGTAGGTTGATCCACATCTTGGCTACTGTGAACACTGCTGGAACAGTCATGGGAGTGCAGATGTCACTTCGATACGCTGATGTCCTTTCCTTTGGGTTTACACCCAGTCATGGAATTGCTAGATCCTCTGGAAGTGTCTTTTTACATTTTGTTTTATGGTTTTTGTTTTTGTTTTTGTTTTTTTTAGACAGTTTCACTCTTGTTGCCCAGGCTGGAGTGCAGTGGTGCCATCTGGGCTCACTGCAACCTCCACCTCCAGGATTCAAGAGATTCCCCAGCCTCAGCCTCCCAAGTAGCTGGGTTACTGGCTCCCACCACCACACTCGGCTAATTTTTATATTTTTAGTAGAGACAGAGTTTCGCTATATTGGCCAGGCTGCTCTTCAACTCCTGACCTCAAGTGACCTACCCACCTCGGCCTCCCAATGTGCTGGGATTACAGGCATGAACCACTGTGCCCGACCTCATTTTATTTTTTGAGGAACTTCCATACTCTTCTCCTCTGTAATGGCTGTACTAATTTGCATTCGTATCAGCAGTGTACCAGATGCAACCCTGGTTGACTCAGCAGAGCAAGAGACGTGCAGTAAGAGAGAATTTAGCTTATTTATGCACACGACACTTCCACTCACTCACTCGTTCAGCCAATGCCCCATGCTCTGGCTGTGCAGTGTGGAATCTTTTCCTATTGTTGCCATAACAAATTTCCACAAGCTTCGTGGATGAAAACATGTTTTTCTTAATTATCTCACAGTGCTGTAACTCAGAAGTATGAACTGCATTTCACTGGGCTGATATCAAAGGGACAGTAAGGCTGGATTTCTTTTTAAGGTTCCAAGCAAGAATCTGCTCCTTAACGTTTCCCAGCTCCTAGAGGCTCCCACGTTCCTGGGCCCCTGGTCCCCTTCCTCCTTCCTCCTTCCTCAAAGCCCACAAAGGCTGGTCACGTCTCACATGGCATCATTCAGACTCTTCTTCTTTACCCATACCTTTTTCTCTGAATCCTGCTCTGCCTTCTTCCTCATCTTTTAAGGACTTTGGGATTCTATTGGGGTCACCAAGATAATCCATCTCAATCTCCCTAAAATCATCCAGCGTACCCTCTTTTTAAGTTCAGCTGATTAGCAACCGTAATGCCATCTGCAATCTTCATTCCTCCTTTCCTGTAAAATAACATATTCACAAGCTATGGAGGCTAAGACAGGGACATTTTGGGGGTGGGGCAGCATTCTCCTGCCTTCCACAAATGGTAAACAGGATGCATTTGGCCTCTGCTCTTGGGACGCTGATATTGCAGATGGGTAAATGCGAGGGCAGAGAATGAATGCACAAGGGTACCAATAAATGAATGATCCATTGGGAAGCATCTGTGCACCAAATCTGGGGTTTTTTGTGTGTGTGTGTGTTTTTTGTTTTCTTTTTTTTTTTTGAGTAGAGTCTCTCTCTGTTCCACAGGCTGGAGTGCAGTAGCACAATCTCAGCTCATTGCAACCTCTGCCTCCTGGGTTCATGCAATTCTCCTGCCTCAGCCTACCGAGTAGCTGGGATTACAGCTGTGCGCCACCACACTCGGCTAATTTTTTTGGTATATTTTTTAGTAGAAATGAGGTTTCACCATGTTGTGCAGGCTGTCTCAAACTCCCAATCTCAAGTGATCCCACCGCCTTAGCGTCCCTAAGTGCAAAGATTACAGGCGAGAGCTACTGCGCCCAGCCAGGATTTAAAATAAGTAATAGATAATGCTGAGTATATAATTTCAGGTGACAGAGAAGGTCTCACTGATCAGATAATATTTGTGACCTTAATGGAAAAAATGGATTCAACCCTTGGAAGATTGGCGGAAGGATTTTCCACACTGAGCTCTCAGCCGTGAAGGCACAAAGGTGGAAACATTCTTAGTTCAAGGAAGAGGCTCTGCCTCAAATGCTGGGAATGAGATGGGGAGAATGACAAGACAACTGTAGAGAGATGGAGAGCACACTGGGTACACAGGAAACTAAGGAGGAACAAGGAGCATGTTTTTGATACTCACAGCCCTTGGATTCAACTCAGAGCTAACTAGGAATCCCTACCTGATTAACAGTGACCGACATGAAAATAAGGGAGGCCCAGGTGCGTAACTGGAATCTAGGAGACCGTGGAAAAGGCAATTCCCGCCCCACTGGTGAAACGTAGGGTTGATTTACACACTAAATGAATGAAAGATGGATATAAGCTATGCTTGTGAGGTAGAATCATTTGCAGGGAGGGCTTGCTGGGTTTGATTTTTCCTAGTAGTTTAATCCTTGTTTCATTAATTTCTTTCTGAGATGTGTTTTTTTTCTACATCTAAATCAATACCTGGCAGAGGAGCGATAGACACATGAGGGGTGGTGCAAATGAAGGGACCTAGTATAATATAATATACAAGACTGTGGATGGGGGCTCACACCTGTAACCCAACACTTTGGGAGGCCAAGGCGGGTAGATCACTTAAGGGTAGGAGTTTGAGACCAGCCTGGCCAACATGGTGAAACCCCGTCTGTACTAAAAATACAAAAATTAGCCTGGTGCATTGGCACCTGCCTGTAATCCCAGCGACTGGGGAGGCTGAAGCAGAAGAATGGCTTCAACCCTGGAGGCAGAGGTTGAACTGAGATCGCATCACTGCACTCCAGCCTGACACAGGGGGACTCTGTCTCAAAAAATAAAAATAAAACATACATAATTATGACACACAGAAATTACAAAGGCAACTGGATACCAACCATCATTTTTCTATTTCTCTGTGTTTAATTCTTTGACCCTTTATCTTATCCATTAAACAATCAGGTTAAACCTCTTCCTTATTTGGCTTTCTGTGAGCTTGGGATCATATGGAAAATGTGAAAGCCTCCTGAACCCACCAGCACAGGTCCTGGAATAGAGAACGTGCTCTGTTCATGGCATAAAACTTGCCCCTTCACCCAAATCCCCCAATTCATCTCTACTTCCAATCACCTATGGAGATACAGATAGATCATGGGGAGGTAAACACTAATACTCTTTGGAGTGAGCTCAGATCTTGGACTCAGAGACCAGTGCCAGCACTAGCCCCTGGTCACATTTCGTACTAACTCACAGAAGGACAGGCTGTATTGAAACAATAAACGACGGAGAGGGCGGTCCTTCCCCGTGCTTCTCGGGTGGAATAGCAGCCTAATATATGTCTCAGCAGATCACAAAAAGTAGCATGTTGTTCCTGGGCTACATCATTATTTCATGGCTGTTTGATTTAAGTCAGTTCTACTTCACTTTTTTTATCTTGATTTCATTTTTTCTTTCTTTTCTTGGAGAATGTAATTTTTTTGAGTCAAGAGGGTTGTGGTGGTAGAAACTGTAAAGCACATTCGCTGTGTATCAATCCCAATCCAGTCTTCCCAGAGAAGATTCTAAACACCTCCTGGAATGCACCTGGGCCTATACCAATTCCTATCACTCACCGTCACTCCAGGGAGACAGAACACACAGAGAACACATTACACAGGCAGGTTCATTACTAACAGATAAGCAGCGAGTGACAACAGAAACCTACATTTCAATGTGAGCCAGTCCCTCAAGGCTCAGAAAAGCTGCTCGAGACATGTGGAGTCACCCCATATGCAGTGTATCTGGGGGAAATCAAAAAGCAGCCCAGCCTGGGTTTTGTACCCTGGAGCCACAGGAAGCACTCAGCTAAAGCACTGCATGACGTCCTCCTCCAGGAAGAACAGGAAGACAGCCCAGGCTGTTCTGGGATGTTCCTCCTGATCTCAGGACGTTGCTGTCTTAGTCCATTTTTGTTGCTCTAAAGGAACACTTGAGCCTGGGTAACTTCTAAAGACAAGAAATGTGTTTGCCTCACAGTTCTGCAGGCTGTACTGGAAGCATGGCACCAGCATCTATTTCTTGTGACGGCCTCAGGCTGCTCCCACTCTGGCAGAAGGGAAGGAGGGTCTGTCTGTGCAGAGACCACAGAGATCACACGGCAAGAGAGGGACCAAGGGGGAGGGGGAGCGATGGAGCTTCCAAGCTCTTTTAACAACCAGTTCTCCAGGAACTAATAGAGGGGGAACTTGCTAACCCCGTCTCCTTGGAACAGCATTGATCTGTTCATGATGGATCCACCTCCATGACCCAAACAACTCCCAAGAGGCCCAACCTCCCACTCTGGGGGTTACATTTCAATGTGAGGTTTGAAGGGGTCAAACATCTAAACTAAAGCAGTTGTATCCTCAGCACGTTCTATGGTTACTACAACTGAGAAAGCAGGAGGAAGCTAGGTCTCCCGCCATCTGGGTGCTTGTCCTAAAGAGACGTTGTATGTGGTTACCTGTCAATCAAGAAATGTGAGACAATTCATATAGAGGAACTGCTATGATTAGCTTCTTATTGGTGTCTTGTCTTCCTCCAGGTAACTCCAGAAACCTGCACGTTCTGATTGGGACCTCAGTGGTCATCATCCCCTTTGCTATCCTCCTCTTCTTTCTCCTTCATCGCTGGTGTGCCAACAAAAAGAGTAAGTCTCACGAAGCAGAAGCCAGAGAGCTCAGGGCCATGTGGGGAAGCAGGATGGGAGCACTCAGGTGTGTGTTCCTCACAGACTGGATGGTCCCTGGCCCAAGGCAGGAGCCACAGAGGCAGGACTTTCTAGAGAGAGCACCAGACTCCCTGCCTCTGCCTTCAGCTCACAGACCATTGCCTGATTCTGAACCGTATCCTCACATCCCCTGCAGCCACTCACATCCAGGAGAAGGTTCCATGACAGGCAGAAAGTGGGACACAGAATCAATAGGATGGGAACTCAGAGCTATACATGGGATGGATCCTTGAGCTCAGAGAGATAGAATGTCTGAGTCTGCTGTTGGCAACTGAGGGACCTCAGGCACCTATGGCCTCCCCCTGTATGTTGGTATCTGCTTATGAAATGAGGACCCAGAAGTGCCCTCCGAGCTGTTTTGACGACTTCCGTCTTCTACAGATGCTGTTGTAATGGACCAAGAGCCTGCAGGGAACAGAACAGTGAACAGGGAGGTAGGTGCTCCTCCGCCCAGCCTCGTGGCTAGTCTTATTCCCAAAGAGTCCTGGAAAATGTGAGCACCCTCCCTCACTCAGCATTTCCCTCCCTCCAGGACTCTGATGAACAAGACCCTCAGGAGGTGACATACGCACAGTTGAATCACTGCGTTTTCACACAGAGAAAAATCACTCGCCCTTCTCAGAGGCCCAAGACACCCCCAACAGATACCAGCGTGTAACACGGAACTTCCAAATGCTGAGCGCAGATCCAAAGTTGTCTTCTGTCCACTAGCACCACAGTCAGGCCTTGATGGGATCTTCTAGGGAGACAATAGCCCTGTCTCAAAACCGGGTTGCCAGCTCCCATGTACCAGCAGCTGGACTCTGAAGGCGTGAGTCTGCATCTTAGGGCATCGCTCTTCCTCACACCACGAATCTGAACATGCCTCTCTCTTGCTTACAAATGTCTAAGGTCCCCACTGCCTGCTGGAGAGAAAACACACTTGCTTAGCCCACAATTCTCCATTTCACTTGACCCCTGCCCACCTCTCCAACCTAACTGGCTTACTTCCTAGTCTACTTGAGGCTGCGATCACACTGAGGAACTCACAATTCCAAACATATAAGAGGCTCCCTCTTAACACGGCACTTAGATACGTGCTATTCCACCTTTCCTCAGAGTATCTTTCAGCCTTCTGTCAGCAGTAAAACTTATAAATTTTTTTTATAATTTCAATGTAGTTTTCTATTCTTCAAGTAAACATGTCTGCCCTCATGGTTTCTTCAATGGGACTCTTTTCTTGCCTAAGGCTTCCGGTGTTATCATTACCACGTCCACATAACCCCATCTGTTCTCCGCTGGGTTCTCAGCCCTGGACTCTGAGCTTCTGGAAGCATGGTGGAGCCTGAATTGTCTCTGAGACTCCAATTTCCATCCAAAGATGCAGCACATAGGAGGTTCCAAGGATGGTGAATCAGATGAACAAGTGATATTCTTACTCTCTGCAGATCTGGAAAGCTGGCAGAGTCATTCCACGATGAAACATTTGTAGAGTCATAGGCCTTGTTAGTCTCATCTCCACAGGGACACGTATCAACACATCATCTTTCATACTACTATAAATAGACAGTCACTCCTCCATATCTCTGGGGTTTACACATGTTTATTGAATCAGCAATAAATCAAAAATATTTTGAGAAAAAAAATCCCCGAAGTTTCAAAAAGCAAAAAACTATGTTGAATCGACACAAATTGAGTGGCGTGTAGGCTGTGTCAGGAATTATAAGTAATCAAGAGATGATTTCATGTATACAGGAGGATGTGCATGGGTTCTATGCAATTGCTATGCTATTTTTTTTTTTTTTTTGAGACAGTCTCACTCTCTCACCCAGGCTGGAGTGCAGTGGCGTGATCTCAACTCACTGCAACCTCCGCCTTCCAGGTTCAAGCGATTCTCTTCCCTCAGCCTCCCCAGTAGCCTCCCCTAGGATTACAGGCACGTGCCACCCTGCACAGATAAATTTTTTTGTGTGTATATTTTTAGTAGAGATGGGGTTTCAGAATGTTGGACCAGCTGGTCTTGAACTCCTGACCTTGTGATCTACCCAGCTCAGCCTCCCAAAGTGCTGGGATTACAGGCGTGAGCCACGGTGCCCAGCTTCACTATGCCATTTCATGCAAGGGGCTTGAGCATCTGCAGATTTTGGTATCTGAATGGGGATCCTGGAACCAATCACCCAGGTATAGTGAAGGACCATGGTATATAATTTTTATTTGTCAATCTTAAAAATAAAGCATAAAAAATTTACAACAACAAGATAAAAAATAAGAAGTGTTTTTATAGTGTGAGGATAAGTTTAGATTTATTTTTTCCTACGTGTAACCCTATGGTCCTGTGTTATTTGTTGAGAAAATATTCTATTCCACCTTAAACTACATGGCAGCCTTTGTCAACTATAAAGGGACTGTGTATCCACAGATGTATTTTAGACACAGTTTTCTGTCCAGTGGTTCTCTGTATCCCCTCTCATGAGGATGCTGCATTTTATATAAACTTATAGAACCCCTTAAAATTTGGTAACCTGAGTCCTCTGATTTGTTATTATAGGTTATTTAGTTTGCTTTTTTTTTTTTTCTTGAGACAGACTCTTCCTCTGTCACCCAAGCTGGAGTTCAGTGGCTTGAGCTCAGCTCACTGCAACCTCCGTCTCCCAGGTTCAAGCTATTCTGATGCCTCTGGTTTAGTAGTAGAAACTCAAGCAGGAAAATTAGAATGGCTTCTTGTCACAATTACTCTGATAATGTTAATAATACCTGTTAGACATTTTGCACATTACATATGAAGAAGAGTTTGAATCTCAGATAAAAACAAAAATACATCAAAAATCTTTAATGTAAGCACAGAATTCAATCATCTCGTGTATGAGAGGTTGGATCTGAGACGTCTTTTGAGTCTGGTCGTAGTGAAGGACGCAAGGTGTCAATTCTAGTGAGAACAATTTCCAGGAAGCCATGTTCCGCTCTTGAGCGAGCACCCACTGGGCCTCATGCAAGGTAGAAAGAGCCTGCGTACGTCACCCTCCCATGATGTGGTCAACATGTAAACTGCATGGGCAGGGCGCCAAATAACATCCTGTGCGCTGCTGAGCTGAGCTGGGGCGCGGCCGCCTGTCTGCACAGACAGCACCATGTCGCTCATGGTCGTCAGCATGGTGTGTGTTGGTGAGTCCTGGAAGGGCATCGAGGGAGGGAGTGCGGGGATGGAGATCGGGGCCCAGAGTTGGAGATATAGGCCTGGAAGTGGAGTTATGGGCCTAGAGATGGAGTGATGGGCCTAGAAGTGGAGATCTGGGCCTGGAGTGGAGATCTGGGCCTGGAGTGGAGATATGGGCCTGGAGGTTGAGATATGGGCCTGCAGTAGAGATATGGGCTTGTAGTGGAGACATGGGCCTGGAGATGGAGATATGGGCCTGGAGATGGAGATATGGGCCTGCAGTAGAGATAGGGGCCTGGAGTGGAGATATGGGCCTGGAGTGGAGATATGGGCCTGGAGTGGAGATATGGGCCTGGAGGTGGAGATATGGGCCTGGAGGTGGAGATATGGGCCTGGAGTGGAGATATGGGTCTGGAGGTGGAGATACGGGCCTGCAGTAGAGATATGGGCCTGGAGTGGAGATATGGGCCAGGAGTGGAGTTATGGGCCTAGAGGTGGATATCTGGGCCTGGAGTGGAGATATGGGCCTAGGAAGGAGATATGGGCCTGGGTGTGGAGATATGGGACTGGAGAGGTGATATGGGCCTGGAGTGGAGATATGGGCTTAGGGTGGAGATCTGGGCCTGGGGCGGAGATATGGGACTGGATTGGAGATAGGGGCCTAGGGTGGAGATCTGAGCCTGGATTGGCGATATGGGCCTAGGGTGGAAATATCAGCCTGGAGTGGAGATATGGGCTTGGGGTGGGGATATGGGCCTGGAAACTGGGTCTCTGCACAGCCGACAGCCCTGTTCTTGGGTGCAGGTAGGCACTGAGGGTGAGTTTAACTTCAGCCCAGGAAGGGCCTGGCTGCCAAGACTCACAGCCCAGTGGGGGCAGCAAGGGAGGCCTGGTTTGCCTGCAGATGGATGGTCCATCATGATCTTTCTTTCCAGGGTTCTTCTTGCTGCAGGGGGCCTGGCCACATGAGGGTGAGTCCTTCTCCAAACCTTCGGGTGTCATCTCCCCACATAAGAGGATTTTCCTGAAACAGGAGGGAAGTCCTGTCGGGGAGTCTCTCATAAACTAGGAAGAGAGGACCCTGGGGTGCTCAGCCCACATTTCTGACCTCGCCTCCCTGGCCTCTCAACCCCTTGGCAGAGTCAAGTTCTGTGGGGACCAGGGTTAGACTGGGGTGCTCAAAGCTGGGGTGTGTGGTTGGGAAGTGGTAGGAACAGCAGATCCTCTGAGGACAAAGGTGTTACTCACACACTTCAGCGTTTCCATGATGGTAGGGGCTGCAGTGTGGCTGCTGTCATTCTACCAGAAGAGGTGGGAAACCACAGCCATGGCCCTGACATTCCAAATCCTCTGATGGGGGCTCAGTTGTTTATTTTCGTTCAGGCATCCGCTGATATCCATTCACAAAGGACATGCCCTCCACCTCATGTCTACCCTGTGTTGTTTTATGTGAGTAATCTTACAGTATTAAAATCTAGTAGGAGTCTCTTTACTCAGCACTTGCTCAAAGTTCTCAGCTGAGGCTTTTGTTGTAGGGAGACACCATGTCTTTGCGGGATGGGTCCTTCCTTCAGCCCTGGGCACCAAGGTGTGATAGTAGCCATAGAAACGTGGAAAGCGAGGAGAATCTTCTGAGCACAGGGAGGGAAGGGCAGTTCCACATCCTCCTCTCTAAGGCGGCGCCTCCTTCTCCCCAAGGTGGTCAGGACAAGCCCTTGCTGTCTGCCTGGCCCAGCCTTGTGGTGCCTCTAGGACATGTCATTCTTCGGTGTCACTCTTATCTTGGGTTTAACAACTTCAGTCTGTACAAGGAAGGTGGGGTGCCTGTCCCTGAGCTCTACAACAGAATATTCTGGAACAGCCTTTTCATGGGCCCTGTGACCCCCGCACACACAGGGACATACAGATGTCGGGGTTCACACACACACTCCCCCAGTGGGTGGTCAGCACCCAGCAACCCCCTGGTGATCGTGGTCATAGGTCAGAGGGCTCCTGTCTTGGATTCTCCTTGTCCCACCTCCTGAATCCCAGAGCTTCTGGTGGGCATGTCCTTGAGGGTCCCATCACGCAGGCCCTGACTGTATTTGTGGTAAAGGGGGATTGAATACAGGGAAATGGGTGCTGTGGTGGGAAGAATAATTGTCCCCAGTGATGACTACATTCTAATCCCTGGAGTCTGTGACTATTTATGTTATAGGGGAAGGGACTGAAGGGGAAGATGGAGCTCATGGGGAGACAGCCTGGACTGTCCCACTGGGCTCAGTGTAATCACAAGGGTGCACATGAAAGGAGGAGGAAGAGGGGAGTGGGGATTAGAGCAGTCCAGTGGAAGTCTTCACCAGCTTTGAAGGTGGAGGAAGGCCAAGAGCCATGAATGCAGGTGGCCTATAGAGGCTGGAAAAGTCAAGGAACTGATTCTCCAGAGTCTCCAGAGGGAACAAAGCCCTGCAGATGCCTTGATTTTAGCCCAGGAAAAATAGGGTCCAATTTCTGTCTCCAGTACTGGAAGGTGTCAGTGTGGTCTCTCCTGCTGCCATGCTTCTGATAATTTTCTACAGCAGCAACAGGAAACCAACACTGGAACCCAGGTCAAGGACAAGTTAAGAAACAACCCAAGGAAAGCCAGGCATGGTGGCAGGTGCATGTAATCCTAGCGACTCAGGAGGCTGAGGGCAGGAGAATCACTTGAACCCAGGAGACAGAGGTTGCAGTGAGCCTAGACCACACCACTTCACTCCAGCCTGGGTGAAGGAGTGAGACTCTGTCTCCAAAATTAATTAATTAATTAAAGAAACCAAACAAGGAGAAGGTTGGCTACCCTGAGATCAGCAAGGGTGGGATGATGATGCCACCACCAGGCTCCATCCACATAGGGAGGGGTTGATACTCCTCCAACCAGCACCAGGAGCCAGCCTATGGAAGCTGGCACCATGGAGAAGGCACAGGCATGGCAAGAGTGGCTCCCAGTCCCCACCAGGAACAGGGTGTGTGGACACTGGTGCCTGCCTTATTCATCAGTTCATACCTTCTGCCAAGGATTGCAATTCATCCAAAAGAGATTGAACCAGGCTGATAAGAGCCTGGATGTGCAGCCTATCCTGGTTCCTCTTTCACCCCCACATAAACAGCAGGAAATACATTAGTGTGAAATAGATACAACACCCCAAGAGATGAGGCTAAGCCCAGTGGGAAGGGAATCAGAGGCTACTAGAGACAGAGGGACAGAGAAGAGGGAGGGAGACAGATGGAAGGACCTGCACCAGGAGTTAAGGGCACAGAAAAGAACATGAAGACACAGAGAGGAAGGAGAGAGACAGACACCAGCAAGGGGAAGCCTCACTCATTCTAGGTGCCATGGATGGGATGATAAAGAGAGACACCTTCTAAACTCACAACCTCTCTTCCTAGGAGTCCACAGAAAACCTTCCCTCCTGGCCCACCCAGGTCCCCTGGTGAAATCAGAAGAGACAGTCATCCTGCAATGTTGGTCAGATGTCAGGTTTCAGCACTTCCTTCTGCACAGAGAAGGGAAGTTTAAGGACACTTTGCACCTCATTGGAGAGCACCATGATGGGGTCTCCAAGGCCAACTTCTCCATCGGTCCCATGATGCAAGACCTTGCAGGGACCTACAGATGCTACGGTTCTGTTACTCACTCCCCCTATCAGTTGTCAGCTCCCAGTGACCCTCTGGACATCGTCATCACAGGTGAGAGTGTCCGGACATTCTCATTGTCATTGGGATGCAGAGTGAATGATCCACGACTTGGAACCCCCAGGTAGTTGTAAGGAAGATGAGCTTGGTATTCTTATGGAGAGAGACTGACTTGCTGAGGTTTGTACCAACAGAGACAGAGAAACAGGAGACACAAGTACAGACCAGGTGTCATAACAGAGGACAGACACAGGGGCCATACAGGGAGTTAGAAAAGACAGAAAGAGTTAAAAGAGACAGACAGACAGACATGTCCCAGAGAGAGGTGTCCCTCCATGCTGACTTTGCTCACAGACCTGGCACAGGTTAGAAGTTTCATTTCTGTTTTACCTCCACAAAGTGTTCTCTACCAGGAGAACCCAAGGACACCCATATTTATGACCTGAGTTGGGCCCTGTGGCCTCAGGCCTTGTGGCACCTACAGGCCATGTTTATTCTGACACCTCTGCCTTCCATGTAATGGAGAGTAATCGTCCCAGGATATCATGGCCCCAGAACACCAACCCCTGTATGCTGTGTGAACTTGTGGTCTCCAGACTGGATTCTGTGGCTCACATTCCAAATAACCCCACATATGAAAGGATCACTGAGAGGCACAGAGAAAAATCAGGAACACCAAAAAGCAAAGACATAAACACACAGAGAATGAGCCAGAGGAAGGAGATTGAGAGACTCACAGACACATAAAGAGAGAGAAAAGAGGGCAGAGGAGTGGTGAGAATGATGGCAGGGAGCAGAGAAAAGCACTAAAATTAGAGTCCTGAGAGAGAGGCACAAGGACATAGAAACATGGAGATGTGGGGATGAATTGCAGAGATTCCAAAGAGAGCTAGAGAGACCGAGAGGCAGAGCAAGACAGATGATAGATGGATAGATATAGATAGATGATAAATAGGTAGATGATAGATAATAGGTTAAAGATACATAGATGATGATTGATTGATTCATTAATAGATAATACATAGAGATGATGATGATGAAGACAGATAATACGTACAGATAGAGAGGCAGACAGAAATCATAGAGAGAGAGATGATACATACATATAAATAACAGATGATTGATGGATAGATAGACAAGTGATAGATACATAGATGATATATAGATATAGATGACAGGTAGAGAATTTGTAGATAGACACCGAATAGATAAATAGATAGATCGACAGATAATAGATAGAAATATGCAGAAAGTTATGAACAGGACACAACGTGAGAAACTTAGAATTTAAAAAAGTAACATCAAGTCAACCAATCCAAGGAGAGTCAGAGAGAATAAAAGAATCCAAAAAGGGAAAACATATCTAGAGGTGGGGAAGCGAGGTCAGAGACCTAGAGAGACAGAGAAGGTGGAAGAAGGAAATAGACATGAAGAGAGATGGGGTGGAGGGTGAGAGAGAGAGAGAGAGAGCATTAGGTCATAGAGCAGGGGAGTGAGTTCTCAGCTCAGGTGAAGGGAGCTGTGACAAGGAAGATCCTCCGTAAGGAAAATGCCTCTTCTCCTCCAGGTCTATATGAGAAACCTTCTCTCTCAGCCCAGCCGGGCCCCACGGTTCTGGCAGGAGAGAGCGTGACCTTGTCCTGCAGCTCCCGGAGCTCCTATGACATGTACCATCTATCCAGGGAGGGGGAGGCCCATGAACGTAGGTTCTCTGCAGGGCCCAAGGTCAACGGAACATTCCAGGCCGACTTTCCTCTGGGCCCTGCCACCCACGGAGGAACCTACAGATGCTTCGGCTCTTTCCGTGACTCTCCATACGAGTGGTCAAACTCGAGTGACCCACTGCTTGTTTCTGTCACAGGTGAGGAAACCCCATATCTGTCTCATGTCCTATGATCCTAGAGCCTTAGCTGAGGAGCTTCCTGCTGATGATGGAGAGAAGCATGGACAGATGCAGAGAGAAGACGAAGCTTGGGTGTGAGGGAGGGATCAGGGCACAGGATGGCAGACAGGGCACCTCCAAACCCTCCTACACGGCCTGCATGAAGGCCCGCGGCCAGGGCTCCAGGCACACAGGCAGATGGAGAAAACGGTCAGGAGAGACGCAGAGGAGAGAGACTGGGCTCAGTTTGGGAAGATCAGAGGTTCCCTCAGCCCCTCAACATTACCCATTTCCCAGAAGCCCATCCTGGCCTCTCACCCACACAGGGATGTCATCACCAGCAACCCCTACACCCTTTACTTTTGTTTGAAGAAATATTTATTGAGGATAAATATACCTATATAGCTTACCACCTTTAACATTTTTTTTTTTTTTGAGGCAGAGTCTAGCTCTGTCCCCTATGCTGGAGTGCAGTGGCACAATCTCAGCTCACTGCAACTTCCGCCTCCTGGGTTCAAGTGATTCTCCTGCCTCAGCCACCTGAGTAGCTGGTGCTACAGGCGCGCACCACCACGCCAGGCTACTTTTTGTATTTTTAGTAGAGAGGGGGTTTCACCATGTTGGTCGAGCTGGTCTCCAACTCCTGACCACGTGATCCACCCGCATCTGCCTCCCAAAGTGCTGGGATTACAGGCATGAGCCACCACGCCCAGCCACATTTACCATTTTTAAGTGTAAAGTCTAGTGGTCATAAATACATTTATATATATATATATATATATATATATACACACACACACACATATATACATATATATATATATATATATATATATATATATATATATATATATTTTTTTTTTTTTTTTTTTTTTTTTTACCCTCCACCCTTTTATTCCTGGCCTCTGGAAGCCACCATTCTACTCTCTACCTTCATGAGATCCACCTTTTAGCTCTGTATATGGGTGAGAAATGGGAATCTTTGTAATGACTTCCAGTTCCATCCATGTGGCTGCAAATATCAGGATGTTATTCTTTCTATGGATGAGTAGTCTCCACTGTGCGTATGTACTACATTCTCTCTATCCATTCATCCACTGATGGGCAGGTAGGTTGACTCCACATCTTGGCTACTGTGAACAGTGCTGCACCAATCATACGAGTGCAGATATCACTTCGATATATTGATTTACTTTCCTTTGGATATAAACCCAGTAGTGAAATTGCTGGATACTATGAAAGTTCTCTTTTTAGTTATTCGTTTGTTGTTTTGTTTTTGTTTTTGAGACAGTTTCCCTCTGTGCCCAGGCTGGAGTACAAGTGAAGTCATCTTGGCTCATTGCAACCTCCGCCTCCTGGGTTCAAATGATTTTCCTGCCTCAGCCTCCCTAGTAGCTGGGATTACAGGTGCACGCCACCATGCCTGGCTACTTTTTGTTTTTTTTAGTATAGATGCGGTTTCCCCATGTTGGCTGGGCTGCTCTCAAACTCATGACCTCAACTGAGGTGCCCGCCTCGGTCTCCCAAAGTGCCGGGATTACAGGCATGATCCACCTCACCCAACCTCTTTTTAGTTCTTTAAAGGACTTCCACACTTTTCTCCGTAAAGGCTGTACTAATTTACACTCCTACCAACAGGGTATTAGGGTTCTCCTTTCTCTACCACTTTGGCAGGATTTCCTTTGCCTGTCTTGCAGCTAAAAGCCATTTTATTTTATTTCATTTTATTTTGAGATGGAGTTTCGCTCTTGTCACCCAGGCTGGAGTGCAGTGGTGCGATCTCGGCTCACCACAACCTCCACCTCCCAGGTTCAAGCGATTCTCCTGCCTCAGCCTCCCGAGTAGCTGGAATTACAGGCACACGCCACCACGCCCAACTAAATTTTGTATTTTTAGTAGAGACAGTGTTTCTCCATGTGGGTCAGACTGGTCTCAAACTCCCGACCTTATGAGATTCACCCACCTCAGGCTCTCAAAGGTCTAGGATGACAGACGTGAGCCACCACGCCCGGCCTAAAATCCATTTTAATGGGGTGAGATGAAAACTCACTTTGATTTTAATTTGTGTTTCTCTGATGATGAGTGAAACTGAGCACTTTTTAGTATGTGGGGAAATTTCATGTGTTTTGCTCCTTTTTCAATTAAATCATTTGTTTTATTGAGTTGTTTGAGCTTCTTATATTTCTAGTTATTAATCCCATCTCAGATGCATAGTTTGCACATATTTGCTCCCAATCTGTGGGTTGTCTCTTCACTTTGTTGGTTTATTTTTAGCGGTGCAGAAGTTGCTTAGTTTGAGGTAATCCCAATGGTCTATTTTTGCTTCGATTACTTGTGTTTTGAAGGTTTAAAACAAAATGTCTTCCTTCAGACAAATGTCCTGGAGCATTTCCCCAATATTTTCTTCTACGTGTTTCATAGGTTCAGGCCTTAGACTCACATCTTTAATCCATTTTCATTTGAGTTTTGTGTATAGTGACAGGTAGAGGTGCAGTTTCATTCCTCTGCATGTAGATGTCCAGGTTTCCCTGCACTGTTTATTGAAAAGACTGTCCTTTCCTGATTGTGAGTTCTTGGCACCTTTGTCAAAGTCCATTGGATGGGCTGGGCATGGTGGCTGACACCTGCAATTTCAGCACTTTGGGAGCCCAAGGCGGGTGGATCACCTGAGGCCAGGAGTTCAAGATTAGTCTGGCCGACGTGATGAAACATTGTCTCCACTAAAAATATAAAAATTAGCTGAGCATGGTGGTCAGCACCTGTAATACCACTACTCAGGAGTTTGAGGCCAGAGAATTGATTGAACCCAGGAGGCTGTGGTGGCAGTGAACCGAGATTGCACCTCTGCACTCCAGCCTGGGCGACAGAGCGAGACTCCATCTCAAAAGAAAAAAGAAAAAAACATTGGAGGTAAATGCATGGATTATATCTGTGTTCTTCATTCTGCTCCATTGTTCTACGTGCCTTTCTTTATGCCAATGTGATGCTGTTTTGCTTACTACAGCTCTGTAACATATTTTGAGATCAGGTAGTGTGATGCTCCTGTTTTCTCTTTATACCTTGAAGTCTCAAGACAGTGGGCGTCACATACAAAAATTACGGAAAAAAGGATCCCAGGACTCCCAGGGCCCAATATTAGATAACAGAGTGTTGGCCATGAACCAACCTCAAAGATTTCCATTGAGTAGAGGACAGACACCCTCATTTCCTCACCTCTCTCCTGTCTCATGTTCTAGGAAACCCTTCAAATAGTTGGCTTTCACCCACTGAACCAAGCTCCGAAACCGGTGAGTACAGAACCCTCTTATATCCGCTTTTGGAAACCTGGGGAGGTAGAAACCTTCGATGCAGGCATTGACTCAGCATCTCGCAGCTCTGACATTGTACGCCTGTCTTCTACCATCTCCGAACTCCAGATACTCCAACAGCGAAAGGGATCTGGGCCCAACCTAGGGCTCAGTGAAATCTCTTAATCTCTCATTTTATGGAGCTGAGATCTCCTACAAGCTAGAAGAATGATTGCCAATCTGACATCCTTCTCAGGAAAAATGCAATGTTTGTTCTGCCTGCATTCCTAACTGGAGGATAAATTCCTGGGGGCTTGAGAGAGGGAAGGGAAGGGAACATCTGATGAGGGCGAGGTGTTTTAGAGAAGTTCCACTTGCCAAGGAATGAATTACTGTTGGTCATGAAGCAACCCTGGCTGACTCAGCAGAGCAACAGCCTTGCCGTAACAGAGAACGGAGCTCATGCACGCACACTTCGACTCACTGACTCATTCAGCCACGGCCCCATGCTCAGGCTGTGCAGTGCGGAACCTTTTCCTATTGTTGCCATAACAAATTTCCACAAGATTCGTGGGTGAAAACAAAACGGTTTTTTAATTATCTTACAGTGCTGTAGCTCAAAGTAGGAAGTGCATCTTACTGGGCTAAAATCAAGGTGACAGCAAGGCTGCCTTCCCTCTGAGGATTCCAGGCAAGAATCTGCTTCTCACTTATCCCAGCTTCTAAAGGCTCCCAGTTCCTTGGCTCCTGTTCCCCTTCCTCCTTCCTCAAAGCCCACAAAGACTGGTCACATCTCACATGGCATCACTCAGTGCCTTCTTCCTTACCACACCTCTTTCTCTGAATGCTGCTCTCCCTTCTTCCTTATCTTTTGAAAACTTGGGGATTCTATTGGGTTCACCAAGATGAAAATCCCTCATAATCTCCTGGAAATCATCCAGGATACCCTTGTTTTAAGTTCAGCTGATTAGCAACCGCAATTCCATCTACAATCTTCATTCCTCCTTTCCATGTAAAATAACATATTCACAAGCTATGGAGGCTAGGACAGGGACATTTTGGGGTGGGACAGCATTCTCCTGCCTTCCACAAACGGTGAACAAGATGCATTTGGCCGCTGCCCTTGGGACACTGATATTGCAGATGGTTAAATGGGAGGGCAGAAAATGAATGCACAAGTGGATCTATAAATGAATGATCCATTGGGAAGCATCTGTGCATGAAATCTATTTTTTGTTTGTTCTTTTGTTTATTGAGACAGAGTCGCCCTCTGTCTTCCAGGCTACAGTGCAGTGTCACGATCTTGGCTCACTGCAACCTGCGTCTCCTGGATTCAAGTGATTCTCCTGCCTCCGCCTCTCGAGTAGCTGGGATTACAGGCAACTGCCACCGTGCCCGGCTAATTCTTTTTGTATATTTTTTGTAGAAAGGATGTTTCACCACGTTGGCCAAGCTTGTCTGAAACTCCCAACCTCAAGTGATCCGACCGTCTCAGCATGCCAAAGTAATGGGACTACAGGCGTGAGCCACTGTGCCCAGCCAGAATTCAAAATCAATAATAGATAATGCTGAGTGTATGATTTCAGGTGACAAAGAAGGTCTCTCTATTCAGATATTTGTGACATTAATGAAAAACACGGATTGAACCCCTGAAAGATTGGCGGAAGGATTTTGCACACACAGCTGTCAGCCGTGAAGGCACAAAGGTGAAAACAATCTGATGTGGAAGGAAGAGGCTCTGCCTCAAATGCTGGGAATGAGGTGGGGAGAATGACAAGACGACTGTAGGGAGACGGAGAGCACACTGGGTACACAGGAAACTAAGGAGCAACAAGGAGTGTGTGTTTGACACTCACAGCCATTGGATTCACCTCGGGGTAACCAGGAATCCCTACATGATTAATATGACGGACATGAAAATAAGGGAGGCTCAGTTGCATAACTGGAATCTAGGAGACCGTGGAAAAGGCAATTGCCGCCCCACTGGTGAAATGTGGTGCTGATTTAGACACTAAATGAATGAAGTAGATGGATATAAGATATGTTTGTGAGGTAGAATCGTTGACTGGAAAGGCTTACTGGGTTTGATTTTCCTACTTGTTTAATCCTCGCTTAATTAATTTCTTTCTGAGATTTATTCATCCTACACATAAATCAATACCTGGCAAAGGAGTGACAGATATATGAGTGGTGGTGGAAATGAAGAGACTTATTATAGCATAATATACAAGTCTGTGAACAGTGGCTCACGCCTGTAACCTAGCACTGCAGGAGGCCAAGGTGGGTGGATTCCATGAAGTCAGGAGTTCCAGACCAGCCTGGCCAACGTGGTGAAACCCTATCTCTACTAAAAATACAAAAATTAGCCGAGCACGATGGTGCATCCCTGTAATCCCAGCTCCTATTCTGGAGGATGAAGCAGGAGAACGACTTCAACCCAGTAGGTGGAGGTTGCAGTGAGTGGAGATTGCATCACTGCACTCCAGCCTGGGGGACACAAGGAGACTCTATCTCAAAAAATAAAAATAAGAAATACATAAATATAATAAAACACACACGAATGACAAAGGCACCTGAATTCCAATCATCGTTTTTCTATTTCTCTATAATTACTTCTTTGATCCTTTATCTTATCCATTAGGCAATGAGCTTAAAACCTCTTCCCTATTTGGCTTTCTGTGAGAATGAGATCACATAGAAAATGTGAAAGCCCTCAGAATCCTCCAGCACAGATCGTGGAATAGAGAAAGTGCTCTGTTCATCGCAACAAAAAACTTGCCCACTCACCCAAATCCCCCACCTCACCCCTACTTCCAATCACCTGTGGAGATTCAGATAGGCTATGGGGAGGTAAACATTGATACTCCTTGGAGTGAGTCCAGATCTTGGAATCAGAGATCAGTGCCAGCACTAGCTCCTGCTCCCCTTTCCTACTAATTCACAGGAGGACAGGTGGTATTGAAGCAATAGATGGCCGAGGGGGTGGTCCTTCCCCCAGCCTCTCGGGTAGAACAGCAGCCTAACATGTGTCTCCCGAGATCACAAAGAGTAGCACGTTTCACACGGGCTTCAACACTATTTCCTGGCCATTTGACATAAGAGAATTCTACTTAGCTTTTTTTATCTTGATTTCACTTTTGTTTCCTTTTCTTGGAGAATGCAAGTTGTTTGATTCAAGAATGCTGTGGATGTAGAAATCCTAAAGCACATTCGCTGTGTATCAATCCCAGTGCAGTCTTCCCAGAGAAGACTCTAAATACCTCCTGGACTGCACCTGGGCTTATGCCAATTCCTATCACTCACCGTCACTCCAGGGAGACAGAACACACAGAGAATACATTACACAGGCAGGTTCATTACTAACAGATAAGCAGCGAGTGACAACAGAAACCTACATTTCAATGTGAGCCAGTCCCTCAAGGCTCAGAAAAGCTCCTCGGGACATATGGAGTCACCCCATTTGCAGTGTAGCTGGGGGAAGCCAGAGAGCAGCCCAGCCTGGGTTTTGTACTGTGGAGCCACAGGAAGCACTCAGCTAAAGCACTGCATGACGTCCTCCTCCAGGAAGAACAGGAAGACAGCCCAGGCTGTTCTGAGACGTTCCTCCTGATCTCAGGACGTTGCTGTCTTAGTCCATTTTTGTTGCTCTAAAGGAACACTTGAGCCTGGGTAACTTCTAGAGAAAAGAGATTGGTTTGCCTCACAGTTCTGCAGGCTATACTGGAAGCGTGGCACCAGCATCTATTTCTCGTGACGGCCTCAGGCTGCTCCCACTCTGGCAGAAGGGAAGGAGGGTCTGTCTGTGCAGAGACCACAGAGATCACACGGCAAGAGAGGGAGCAAGGGGGAGGGGGAGCGATGGAGCTTCCAAGCTCTTTTGAACAACCAGCTCTCCAGGAACTAATAGAAGGGGAACTTGCTAACCCCGTCTCCTTGGGACAGCATTGGTCTGTTCATGATGGATCCACCTCCATGACCCAAACACCTCTCAAGAGGCCCAACCTCCCACAGTGGGGGTGAAATTTCAATGTGAGGTTTGAAGGGGTCAAACATCTCAACTAAAGTAGTTGTATCCTCAACACGTTCTATGGTTACTATGAGAGCTATAACTGAGAAAGCAGGAGAAAGCTGGGTCTCCCTCCATCTGGGTGCTTGTCCTAAAGGGGTGTTGTATGTGGTTACCTGTCAATCAAGAAATGTGAGACAATTCATAAAGAGGAACTGCTATGATTAGCTTCTTATTGGTGTCTCCTCTTCTTCCAGGTAACCCCAGACACCTGCATGTTCTGATTGGGACCTCAGTGGTCATCATCCTCTTCATCCTCCTCCTCTTCTTTCTCCTTCATCGCTGGTGCTGCAACAAAAAAAGTAAGTCTCACGAAGCAGAGGCCAGAGAGCTCAGGGCCATGTGGGGAAGCAGGATGGGAGCACTCAGGTGTGTGTTCCTCACAGACAGGATGGTCCCTGGCCCAAGGCAGCAGCCACAGAGGGAGGACTTTCTAGAGAGAGCACCAGACTCCCTGTCCCTGCCTTCAGCTCACAGACCATTGCCTGATTCTGAACTGTATCCTCATGTCCCCTGCAGCCACTCACATCCAGGAGAAGGTTCCATGACAGGCAGAAAGTGGGAGACAGAATCAATGGGATGGGAACTCAGAGCTATTCATGGGATGGGTCCTTGAGCTCAGAGAGATAGAATGTCTGAGTCTGCTGTTGGCAACTGAGGGACCTCAGGCTCCTATGGTCTCCCCCTGTATGTTGGTATCTGCTTATGAAATGAGGGCCCAGAAGTGCCCTCTGAGCTGTTTTGTTGACTTCCGTCTTCTACAGATGCTGTTGTAATGGACCAAGAGCCTGCAGGGAACAGAACAGTGAACAGGGAGGTAGGTGCTCCTCGGCCCAGCCTCGTGGCTAGTGTTATTCCCAAAGAGTCCTGGAAAATGTGAGCACCCTCCCTCACTCAGGATTTCCCTCTCTCCAGGACTCTGATGAACAAGACCCTCAGGAGGTGACATATGCACAGTTGAATCACTGCGTTTTCACACAGAGAAAAATCACTCACCCTTCTCAGAGGCCCAAGACACCCCCAACAGATATCATCGTGTACACGGAACTTCCAAATGCTGAGCCCTGATCCAAAGTTGTCTCCTGCCCATGAGCACCACAGTCAGGCCTTGAGGGGATCTTCTAGGGAGACAACAGCCCTGTCTCAAAACTGGGTTGCCAGCTCCAATGTACCAGCAGCTGGAATCTGAAGGCGTGAGTCTGCATCTTAGGGCATCGCTCTTCCTCACACCACAAATCTGAACGTGCCTCTCTCTTGCTTACAAATGTCTAAGGTCCCCACTGCCTGCTGGAGAGAAAACACACTCCTTTGCTTAGCCCACAATTCTCCATTTCACTTGACCCCTGCCCACCTCTCCAACCTAACTGGCTTACTTCCTAGTCTATTTGAGGCTGCAATCACACTGAGGAACTCACAATTCCAAACATACAAGAGGCTCCCTCTTAACACGGCACTTAGACACGTGCTGTTCCACCTTCCCTCATGCTGTTCCACCTCCCCTCAGACTAGCTTTCAGCCTTCTGTCAGCAGTAAAACTTATATATTTTTTAAAATAATTTCAATGTAGTTTTCCCTCCTTCAAATAAACATGTCTGCCCTCATGGTTTAGGTAATGGGACTCTTTTCTTGCCTAAGGCTTCCGGTGTTATCAGTACCATGTCCATATAATCCCATCTGTTCTCCACGGGGTTCTCACCTCTGGACTCTGAGCTTCTGGAAGCAGTGTGGAGCCTCATTTGTCTCTGGGACTCCAATTTCCATCCAAAGATGCAGCACATAGGAGGTTCCAAGGATCGGGAATCACATGAACAAGTGACATTGTTACTCTCTGCAGACCTGGAAAGCTGGCAGAGTCATTCCACAATGAAACATTTGTAGAGTCATAGGCCTTGTTAGTCTCATCTCCATGGGGACACATATCAACACATCATCTTTCATACTATAAATATACGGTCACTCCTCCGTATCTGTGGGGTTTACAGGTCTTTATTGAACAAAGTATAAATCAAAAATATTCAGAGAAAATATCCACAGAGTTCCAAAACTCATAACTATGTTGAATGGACACAAATGAAGCTGTGTGTAGGCTGTATCAGGAATTATAAGTAATCAAGAGATGATTTCATGTATACAGGAGGATGTGCATATGTTATTTGCAAGCGCTGTGCCATTTCATATAAGAGGCTTGAGCATCTACAGATTTTGGTATCTGAGTGGAGATCTCGAAACCAATCACCCACGAATAGTGAAGGATGACCGTATATGACTTTTATTTCTCAAATTTAAATATAAATCAAAAAATGTACAACTAGATAAAAACTAAGAAGTGTTTTTATAGTGTGAGTTAGATTTATTTTTTACTAGGTGTAACCCATTGGTTTAATATTATTTATTGAGAAGACATTCTATGCCACCTTAAACCACACGGCAGCCTTTGTCAACTCTAAAGGGACTGTGTGTACATGGATGTATTTTAGACAGTTTCTGCTAAGGGGCTGTCTGTGTCCACACTCTTGATGATGCTACACTTTATGTAGCCTTATAGAACCCTTTAAATTTAGTAGCCAGAGCCCTCTAATTTGTTATTATAGGCTATTTGCTTTTTTTTTTCTTGAGGCGGAGTCTTGCTCTGTCGCCCAGGCTGGACTGCAGTGGTGCAATCTCAGCTCACTGCAACCTCCGCCTCCCAGGTTCAAGCGATTCTCGTGCCTCAGCCTCTTGGGTAGCTGGCGTTACAAGTTCCTGCCACTGGGCACGGCTAATTTTTGGATTTTTAGCAGAGACACGGTTTCACTGTGTTGCCAGGCTGCTCTCAAACTCCTTATATCAGTTGATCCGCCCACCTCGGCTTCCCGACGTGCTGGGGGAAACTTGATTTTCTATAGCATTATGTTACTGGATATTTCTGTAAAATTTAAAATGAGGGAGGCAGAGAGACAGAGAGAGAACAAACTCCAGAGTTGGGACTCTGGAAACTTGGGTCATGAGACAAATTTTAGATAAATCTACAAAAATCCAGAGTTTAAATGTGTGGTTTTTGCTGATAACGTACAATTCAAAGATTGTAAATAATTGCATAATCCTTCCCTGGGAATTTAAATCATTTTAACTGGTTCTGCTGTAATACTAGAAATACAAGCATGAAAAATTCTAATGGTTTATTAGTCACAATGACTCTGAAAACCTTAATAATACCTATTAGATATTTTGCATATTACACATGAAGAAGAGTTTGAATCTCAGATAAAAACAATAAAAATACATGAAAAGTCTTTCACGTTAGCACAGATTTTAGGCATCTCGTGTTCAGGAGGTTGGATCTGAGACGTGTTTTGAGTTGGTCATAGTGAAGGACGCTAGGTGTAAATTCTAGTGAGAACAATTTCCAGGAAGCCGTGTTCCGCTCTTGAGCGAGCACCCACTGGGCCTCATGCAAGGTAGAATGAGCCTGCGTACGTCACCCTCCCATGATGTGGTCAACATGTAAACTGCATGGGCAGGGCGCCAAATAACATCCTGTGCGCTGCTGAGCTGAGCTGGGGCGCGGCCGCCTGTCTGCACCGGCAGCACCATGTCGCTCACGGTCGTCAGCGTGGCGTGTGTTGGTGAGTCCTGGAAGGGAATAGAGGAAGGGAGTGTGGGGTTGGAGATCTGGGCCCAGAGGTGGAGATATAGGCCTGGAGGTGGAGTTGTGGGCCTGGAGTGGAGATCTGGGCCTGGAGTGGATATATGGGCCTAGAGATGGAGTGATGGGCCTAGAAGTGGAGATCTGGGCCTGGAGTGCCGATAGGAACCTGGAGGGGAGATAGGAGCCTGGAGTGGAGACATGGGCCTGGAGGTGGAGTTATAGGCCTATAGTAGAGATATGGGCCTGGAGTGGAGATTTGGGCCAGGAGTGGAGATATGGGCCTAGAGGTGGATATCTGGGCCTAGAGTGGAAATATGGGCCTAGGATGGAGATATGGGCCTGGTTGTGGAGATATGGGACTGGAGAGGAGATATGGGCCTAGAGTGGAGATATGGGCTTGGGGTGGAGATCTGGGCCTGGGGTGGAGATATGGGCCTGGAGGTGGAGTTACGGGCCTTCAGTAGAGATATGGGCCTGGGGTGGAGATATGGGCTTGGGGTGGAGATCTGGGCCTGGAGTGGAGATATGGGCCTGGAGGTGGAGTTACTGGCCTTCAGTAGAGATATGGGCCTGGTGTGGAGATATGGGCCTGGATTGGAGATATGGGCCTAGGGTGGAGATCTGAGCCTGGGGTGGAGATATGGGCCTGGATTGGAGATATGGGCTTACAGTGGAGATCTTGGCCTGGATTGGCGATATGGGCCTGGATTGGCGATATGGGCCTATGATGGAAATATCGGCCTGGAGTGGAGATATGGGCCTGGAGTGGAGATACAGGCCTAGGGTGGAAATATTGGCCTGGAGTGGAGATATGGGCTTGTGGTGGGGATATGGGCTTGTGGTGGGGATCTGGGCTTGGAGGCTGGGTCTCTGCACAGCCGACAGCCCTGTTCTTGGGTGCAGGTAGGCACTGAGGGTGAGTTTAACTTCAGTCCAGGAAGGGCCTGCCTACCAAGACTCACAGCCCAGTGAGGGCAGCAAGGGTGCCCTGGTTTGCCTGCAGATGGATCGTCCATCATGATCTTTCTTTCCAGGGTTCTTCTTGCTGCAGGGGGCCTGGCCACATGAGGGTGAGTCCTTCTCCAAACCTTCGGGTGTCATCTCCCCACATAAGAGGATTTTCCTGAAACAGGAGGGAAGTCCTGTCAGGGAGCCTCTCATAAACTAGGAAGAGGGGACCCTGGGGTGCTCGGCCCACAGTTCCGACCTCGCCTCCCTGGCCTTTCATTCCCTTGGCAGAGTCAAGTTCTGTGGGGACCAGGGTTAGACTGGGGTGCTCAAAGCTGGGGTGCGTGGTGGGGAAGTGGTAGGAACAGCAGATCCTCTGAGGACAAAGGTGTTACTCACACTTCAGCGTTTCCATGACGGTAGGGGCTGCAGTGTGGCTGCTGTCACTCCACCAGAAGAGGTGGGAAACCACAGCCATGGCCCTGACATTCCAAATCCTCTGATGGGGGCTCAGTTGCTTATTTTCATTCAGGCATCTGCTGATATTCCATTCTCAAAGACATGCCCTCCACCCCATGTCTACCCTGTGTTGTTTTATGTGAGTAATCTTACAGTATTAAAATCTAGTAGGAGTCTCTTACTCAGCACTTGCTCAAAGTTCTCAGCTGACACTTTTGTTGTAGGGAGACACCTTGTGTTTGCGGGATGGGTCCTTCCTTTAGCCCTGGGCACCAAGGTGTGATAGCAGCCATAGAAACTTGGAAAGCGAGGAGAATCTTCAGAGCACAGGGAGGGAGGGGTGGCTCCACATCCTCCTCTCTAAGGCGGTGCCTCCTTCTCCCCAAGGTGGTCAGGACAAGCCCTTGCTGTCTGCCTGGCCCAGCTCTGTGGTGCCTCCAGGACATGTGATTCTTCGGTGTCATTCTTATCTTGGGTTTAACAACTTCAGTCTGTAAAAGGAAGATGGGGTGCCTGGCACTGAGCTCTACAACAGAATATTCTGGAAGAGCCTTTTCATGGGCCCTGTGACCCCAGCACACACAGGGACGTACAGATGTCGGGGTTCACACCCACACTACCCCAGTGGGTGGTCGGCACCCAGCAACACCCTGGTGATCATGGCCACAGGTCAGAGGGCTCCTGTCTTGGATTCTCCTTTCCCACCTCCTGAATCCCAGAGCTTCTGGTGGGCGTGTCCTTGAGGGTCCCATCACCCAGGCCCTGACTATATTTGGGGTAAAGGGGGATTGAATACAGGGAAATGGGTGCTGTGGTGGGAAGAATAATTGTCCCCAGTGATGACTACATTCAAATCCCTGGAGTCTGTGACTATTTATGTTATAGGGGAAGGAACTGAAGGGGAAGATGGAGCTCAGGTTGTTGATGAGTTGACCTTGAGATGGGGAGACAGCCTGGACTGTCCCGCTGGGCTCAGTGTAATCACAAGGGTCCACATGAAAGGAGGAGGAAGAGGGGAGTGGGGATTAGAGCAGCGCAATGGGAGACTCCACCAGCTTTGAAGGTGGAGGAAGGCCAGGAGCCATGAATGCAGGTGGCCTGTAGAGGTTGGAAAAGTCAAGGAAATGATTCTCCAGAGTCTCCAGAGGGAACGAAGCCCTGCAGATGCCTTGATTTTAGCCCAGGAAAAACAGGGTCCTATTTCTGTCTCCAGTAGTGAAATGGGTCAGTGTGCTCTCTCCTGCTGCCATGCTTCTGATAATTTTCTACAGCAGCAACAGGAAACCAACACTGGAACCCAGGTCAAGGACAAGGTAAGAAACAACACAAGGATAGCCGGGTGTGGTGGCAGGCGCATGTAATCCTAGCGACTTGGGAGGCTGAGGGCAGGAGAATCACTTGAACCCAGGAGACAGAGGTTGCAGTGACCCTAGACCACACCACTTCACTCCAGCTGGGGTGAAGGAGTGAGACTCTGTCTCCATAATTAATTAATTAATTAAAGGAACCAAACAAGGGGAAGGTTGGCTACACCGAGATGAGCAAGTGTGGGATGATGATGCCACCACCAGGCTCCATCCACATAGGGAGGGGTTGATACTCCTCAAACCAGCACCAGGAGCCAGCCTATGGAAGCTGGCACCATGGAGAAGGCACAGGCATGGCAAGAGTGGCTCCCAGTCCCGACCAGGAACAGGGTGTGTGGACACTGGTGCCTGCCTTATTCATCAGTTCATACCTACTGCCAAGGATTCCAATTCATCCAAAAGAGATTGAACCAGGCTGATAAGAGGCTGGATGTGCAGCCTATCCTGGTTCCTCTTTCACCCCCACATAAACAGCAGGAAAGACATTAGTGTGAAATAGATACAACACCCCAAGAGATGAGGCTAAGCCCAGTGGGAAGGGAATCAGAGGCGACTAGAGACAGAGGGACAGAGAAGAGGGAGGGAGACAGATGGAAGGACCTGCACCAGGAGTTATGGGCACAGAAAAGAACATGAAGACACAGAGAGGAAGGAGAGAGACAGACACCAGCAAGGGGAAGCCTCACTCATTCTAGGTGCCATGGATGGGATGATAAAGAGAGACACCTTCTAAACTCACAACCTCTCTTCCTAGGAGTCCACAGAAAACCTTCCCTCCTGGCCCACCCAGGTCCCCTGGTGAAATCAGAAGAGACAGTCATCCTGCAATGTTGGTCAGATGTCAGGTTTGAGCACTTCCTTCTGCACAGAGAAGGGAAGTTTAACGACACTTTGCACCTCACTGGAGAGCACCATGATGGGGTTTCCAAGGCCAACTTCTCCATCGGTCCCATGATGGAAGACCTGGCAGGGACCTACAGATGCTACGGTTCTGTTACTCACTCCCCCATCAGTTGTCAGCTCCCAGTGACCCTCTGGACATCGTCATCACAGGTGAGAGTGTCCGGACATTCTTCTCATTGTCATTGGGATGCAGAGTGAATGATCCACGACTTGGAACCCCCAGGTAGTTGTAAGGAAGATGAGCTTGGTATTCTTATGGAGAGAGACTGACTTGGTGAGGTCTGTACCAACAGAGACAGAGAAACAGGAGACACAAGTACAGACCAGGTGTCATAACAGAGGACAGACACAGGGGCCATACCGGGAGTTAGAAAAGACAGAAGGAGTTAAAGGAGACAGACAGACAGACATGTCCCAGAGAGAGGTGTCCCTCCATGCTGACTTTGCTCAGAGACCTGGCACAGGTTAGAAGTTTCATTTCTGTTTTACCTCCACAAAGTGTTCTCTACCAGGAGAACCCAAGGACACCCATATTTCTGACCTGAGTTGGGCCCTGTGGCCTCAGGCCTTGTGGCACCTACAGATGCCGTGTTTATTCTGACACCTCTGCCTTCCATGTAATGGAGAGTAACCGTCCCAGGATATCATGGCCCCAGAACACCAACTCCTGTATGCTGTGTGAACTTGTGGTCTCCAGACTGGATTCTGAGGCTCACATTCCAAATAACCCCACATATGAAAGGATCACTGAGAGGCACAGAGAGAAATCAGGGACACCAAAAAGCAAAGACATAAACACACAGAGAATGAGCCAGAGGAAGGAGATTGAGAGACTCACAGACACATAAAGAGAGAGAAAAGAGGGCAGAGGAGTGGTGAGAATGATGGAAGGGAGCAGAGAAAAGCACTAAAATTAGACTCCTGAGGGAGAGGCACAAGGACATAGAAAGATGGAGATGTGGGGATGAATTGCAGAGATTCCAAAGAGAACTAGAGAGACCGAGAGGCAGAGCAAGACAGATGATAGAAGGTTAGATATAGATAGATGATAAATAGGTAGATGATAGATAATAGGTTAAAGATACATAGATGATGATTGATTGATTCATTAATAGATGAGACATAGAGATGATGATGATGAAGACAGATAGATAATACATAGAGATAGAGAGGCAGACAGAAGTCATAGAGAGAGAGATGATACATAGATATAGATAACAGATGATTGATGGATAGATAGACAAGTGATAGATACATAGATGATATATAGACATAGATGACAGGTAGAGAATTTGTAGATAGGCACCGAATAGATAAATAGATAGATCGATAGATAATAGATAGAAATATGCAGAAAGTTATGAACAGGACACAAAGTGAGAAACTTAGAATTTAAAAAAGTAACATCAAGTCAACCAATCCAAGGAGAGTCAGAGAGAATAAAAGAATCCAAAAAGGGAAAACATATCTAGAGGTGTGGAAGCGAGGTCAGAGACCTAGAGAGACAGAGAAGGTGGAAGGAGGAAATAGACATGAAGAGAGATGGGGTGGAGGGTGAGAGACAGAGAGAGAGAGCATTAGGTCATAGAGCAGGGGAGTGAGTTCTCAGCTCAGGTGAAGGGAGCTGTGACAAGGAAGATCCTCCGTAAGGAAAATGCCTCTTCTCCTTCCAGGTCTATATGAGAAACCTTCTCTCTCAGCCCAGCCGGGCCCCACGGTTCTGGCAGGAGAGAGCGTGACCTTGTCCTGCAGCTCCCGGAGCTCCTATGACATGTACCATCTATCCAGGGAGGGGGAGGCCCATGAACGTAGGTTCTCTGCAGGGCCCAAGGTCAACGGAACATTCCAGGCTGACTTTCCTCTGGGCCCTGCCACCCACGGAGGAACCTACAGATGCTTCGGCTCTTTCCGTGACTCTCCCTACGAGTGGTCAAACTCGAGTGACCCACTGCTTGTTTCTGTCACAGGTGAGGAAAGCCCATGGCTGTCCCATGTCCTATGATCCTAGAGCCTTAGCTGAGGAGCTTCCTGCTGAGGATGGAGAGAAGGATGAACAGATGCAGAGAGAAGACGAAGCTTGGGTGTGAGGGAGGGATCAGGGCACAGGATGGCAGACAGGGCACCTCCAAACCCTCCTACATGGCCTGCATGAAGGCCTGCGGCCAGGACTCCAGGCACCCAGGCAGATGGAGAAAGCGGTCAGGAGAGACCCAGAGGAGGGAGACTGGGCTCAGTTTGGGAAGATCAGAGGTTCCCTCAGCCCCTCAACATTACCCATTTCCCAGAAGCCCATCCTGGCCTCCCACCCACACAGGGATGTCATCACCTGCAACCCCTACACCCTTTACTTTTGTTTGAGAAATATTTATTGAGGATAAATATACCTATATAGCTTACCACCTTTAACATTTTTTTTTTGAGGCGGAGTCTAGCTCTGTCCCCTATGCTGGAGTGCATTGGCACAATCTCAGCTCACTGCAACTTCCGCCTCCTGGGTTCAAGCGATTCTCTTGCCTCAGCCACCTGAGTAGCTGGTGCTACAGGCGTGCACCACCATGCCAGGCTACTTTTTGTATTTTTAGTAGAGAGGGGGTTTCACCATGTTGGTCAAGCTGGTCTGGAACTCCTGACCACGTGATCCATCCGCATCAGCCTCCCAAAGTGCTGGGATTACAGGCATGAGCCACCACGCCCAGCCACATTTACCATTTTTAAGTGTAAAGTCTAGTGGTCATAAATACATTAATATATATATATATACACATATTTTTTTTTACCCTCCACCCTTTTCTTCCTGGCCTCTGGTAGCCACCATTCTACTCTCTACCTTCATGAGATCCACCTTTTAGCTCCTGTATATGGGTAAGAAATGGGAATCTTTGTAATGACCTCCAGTTCCATCCATGTGGCTGCAAATATCAGGATGTTTTTCTTTCTATGGAAGAGTAGTCTCCACTATGCAAATGTACCACATTCTCTCTATCCATTCACCCACTGATGGGCAGGTAGGTTGACTCCTCATCTTGGCTACTGTGAAGAGTGCTGCACCAATCATACGAGTGCAGATATCACTTCGATATATTGATTTACTTTCCTTTGGATATAAACCCAGTAGTGAAATTGCTGGATACTATGAAAGTTCTCTTTTTAGTTTTTCGTTTGTTGTTTTGTTTTTGTTTTTGAGACAGTTTCCCTCTGTGCCCAGGCTGGAGTACAAGTGATGTCATCTTGGCTCATTGCAACCTCTGCCTCCTGGGTTCAAATGATTTTCCTGCCTCAGCCTCCCTAGTATCAGGGATTATAGGCGCACGCCACCATGCCTGGCTACTTTTTGTTTTTTTTAGTATAGATGCGGTTTCCCCATGTTGGCTGGGCTGCTCTCAAACTCATGACCTCAACTGAGGTGCCCGCCTCGGTCTCCCAAAGTGCCGGGATTACAGGCATGATCCACCTCACCCAACCTCTTTTTAGTTCTTTAAAGGACTTCCACACTTTTCTCCGTAATGGCTGTACTAATTTACACTCCTACCAACAGGATACCAGGATTCTCCTTTCTCTAACACCTTGCCAGCATTTCTTTTGCCTGTCTTGCAGCTAAAAGCCATTTTATTTTATTTCATTTTATTTTGAGATGGAGTTTCGCTCTTGTCACCCAGGCTGAGTGCAGTGGTGCGATCTCGGCTCACCACAACCTCCACCTCCCAGGTTCAAGCGATTCTCCTGCCTCAGCCTCCCGAGTAGCTGGAATTACAGGCACACGCCACCACGCCCGACTAATTTTTGTATTTTTAGTAGAGACAGTGTTTCTCCATGTGGGTCAGACTGGTCTCAAACTCCCGACCTTATGAGATTCACCCACCTCAGGCTCTCAAAGTTCTAGGATGACAGACGTGAGCCACCACGCCCGGCCTAAAAGCCATTTTAATGGGGTGAGATGAAAACTCACTTTGATTTTAATTTGCGTTTCTCTGATGATGAGTGATACTGAGCACTTTTTCGTATGTGGGGAAATTTCATGTCTTTTGCTCCTTTTTCAATTAAATCATTTGTTTTATTGAGTTGTTTGAGCTTCTTATATTTCTAGTTATTAATCCCATCTCAGATGCATAGTTTGCACATATTTGCTCCCAATCTGTGGGTTGTCTCTTCACTTTGTTGGTTTATTTTTAGCGGTGCAGAAGTTGCTTAGTTTGAGGTAATCCCAATGGTCTATTTTTGCTTCGATTACTTGTGTTTTGAAGGTTTAAAACAAAATGTCTTCCTTCAGACAAACGTCCTGGAGCATTTCCCCAATATTTTCTTCTACGTGTTTCATAGGTTCAGGCCTTAGACTCACATCTTTAATCCATTTTCATTTGATTTTTGTGTATAGTGACAGGCAGAGGTGCAGTTTCATTCCTCTGCATGTAGATGTCCAGGTTTCCCTGCACTGTTTATTGAAAAGACTGTCCTTTCCTGATTGTGAGTTCTTGGCACCTTTGTCAAAGTCCATTGGATGGGCTGGGCATGGTGGCTGACACCTGCAATTTCAGCACTTTGGGAGCCCGAGGTGGGTGGATCACCTGAGGCCAAGAGTTCAAGATTAGTCTGGCCAACGTGATGAAACATCGTCTACACTAAAAATATAAAAATTAGCTGAGCATGGTGGTCAGCACCTGTAATACCACTACTCAGGAGTTTGAGGCAAGAGAAGTGATTGAACCCAGGAGGCTGTGGTGGCAGTGAACCGAGATTGCACCTCTGCACTCCAGCCTGGGTGACAGAGCAAGACTCCATCTCAAAAGAAAAACAAAAAATACATTGGAGGTAAATGCATGGATTATATCTGTGTTATTCATTCTGCTCCGTTGTTCTATGTGCCTTTCTTCATGCCAACGTCATGCTGTCTTGCTTACTACAGCTCTGTAACATATTTTGAGATCAGGTAGTGTGATGCTCCTGTTTTCTCTTTATACCTTGAAGTCTCAAGACAGTAGCCGTCACATACAAAAATTACGGAAAAAAGGATCCCAGGACTCCCAGGGCCCAATATTAGATAACAGAGTGTTGGCCATGAACCAACCTCAAAGATTTCCACTGAGTAGAGGACAGACACCCTCATTTCCTCACCTCTCTCCTGTCTCGTGTTCTAGGAAACCCTTCAAATAGTTGGCCTTCACCCACTGAACCAAGCTCCAAAACCGGTGAGTACAGAACCCTCTTATATCCGCTTTTGGAAACCTGGGGAGGTGGAAACCTTGGATTCAGGCGTTGACTCAGCATCTCACAGCTCTGACATTGTACGCCTGTCTTCTACCATCTCCGAACTCCAGATACTCCAACAGCGAAAGGGATCTGGACCCAAAACAGGGCTCAGTGAAATCTCTTAATCTCTCATTTTATGGAGCTGAGATCTCCTACAAGCTAGAAAAATGATTGGCAATCTGACATCCTTCTCAGGAAAAATGCAATGTTTGTTCTGCCTGCATTCCTAACTGGAGGATAAATTCCTGGGGGCTTGAGAGAGGGAAGGGTAGGGAACATTTGATGAGGGCAAGGTGTTTTAGAGAAGTTCCACTTGCCCAGGAATGAATTACTGTTGGTCATGAAGCAACCCTGGCTGACTCAGCAGAGCAAGAGCTTTGCCTTAACAGAGAACGGAGCTCATGCACGCACACTTCGACTCACTGACTCATTCAGCCACGGCCCCATGCTCAGGCCGTGGAAAAGGCAATTCCCAGCACTGCAGGAGGCCAAGGCGGGTGGATCACTTGAAGTCAGGAGTTCCAGACCAGCCTGGCCAAAATGGTGAAACCCTGTCTCTATGAAAAATACAAAAATTAGCCGAGCATGGTGGTGCATCCCTGTAATCCCAGCTCCTACTCTTGAGGATGAAGCAGGAGAACAACTTCAACCCAGGAGGTGGAGGTTGCAGTGAGTGGAGATTGCATCACTGCACTCCAGCCTGGGTGACACAAGGAGACTCCGTCTCAAAAAATAAAAATAAGAAATGCATAAATATAATAAAACACACACGAATGACAAAGGCACCTGAATTCCAATCATCATTTTTGTATTTCTCTATAATTACTTCTTTGATCCTTTGTCTTATCCATTAGGCAATGAGCCTAAAACCTCTTCCGTATTTGGCTTTCTGTGAGCATGAGACCATATAGAAAATGTGAAAGCCCGCTGAATCCTCCAGCACAGATCGTGGAATAGAGAAAGTGCTCTGTTCATCACAAAAAAAACTTGCCCTCTCACTCAAATCCCCCACTTCACCCCTACTTCCAATCACCTGTGGAGATTCAGATAGACCATGGGGAGGTAAACATTAATACTCCTTGGAGTGAGTCCAGATCTTGGAATGAGAGATCAGCACCAGCACTAGCTCCTGCTCCCCTTTCCTACTAATTCACAGGAGGACAGGTGGTATTGAAGCAATAGATGGTGGAGGGGGTGGTCCTTCCCCCAGCCTCTCAGGTAGAACAGCAGCCTAACATGTGTCTCCCGAGATCACAAAGAGTAGGACGTTTCACAGGGGCTTCAACACGATTTCCTGGCTGTTGGACATAAGATAACTCTATTTCGCTTTTTTATCTTGATTTCACTTTTGTTTCCTTTCCTTGGAGAACGCAAGTTGTTTGACTCAAGAATGCTGTGGATGTAGAAATCCTAAAGCACATTCGCTGTGTGTCAATCCCAGTGCAGTCTTCCCAGAAAAGACCCTAAACACCTCCTAGACTGCACCTGGGCCTACGCCAATTCCTATCACTCACCGTCACTCCAGGGAGACAGAACACACAGAGAATACGTTACATAGGCAGGTTCATTACTAACAGATAAGCAGCGAGTGAAAACAGAAGCCTACATTTCAATGTGAGCCAGTCCCTCAAGGCTCAGAAAAGCTGCTCGGGACATATGGAGTCACCCCATTTGCAGTGTAGCTGGGGGAAGCCAGAAAGCAGCCCAGCCTGGGTTTTGTACCCTGGAGCCACAGGAAGCACTCAGCTAAAGCACTGCATGACGTCCTCCTCCAGGAAGAACAGGAAGACAGCCCAGGCTGCTCTGGGACGTTCCTCCTGATCTCAGGACGTTGCTGTCTTAGTCCATTTTTGTTGCTCTAAAGGAACACTTGAGCCTGGGCAACTTCTAAAGAAAAGAGATTGGTTTGCCTCACCGTTCTGCAGGCTGTACTGGAAGCATGGCACCAGCATCTATTTCTCGTGATGGCCTCAGGCTGCTCCCACTCTGGCAGAAGGGAAGGAGGGTCTGTCTGTGCAGAGACCACAGAGATCACACGGCAAGAGAGGGAGCAAGGGGGAGGGGGAGCGATGGAGCTTCCAAGTTCTTTTGAACAACCAGCTCTCTGGGAACTAATAGAGGGGGAACTAGCTAACCCCGTCTCCTTGGGACAGCATTGATCTGTTCATGATGGATCCACCTCCATGACCCAAACACCTCTCAAGAGGCCCAACCTCCCACAATGGGGGTGAAATTTCAATGTGAGGTTTGAAGGGGTCAAACATCTCAACTAAAGTAGTTGTATCCTCAGCACATTCTATGGTTACTTTGAGAGCTATAACTGAGAAAGCAGGAGAAAGCTGGGTCTCCCGCCATCTGGGTGCTTGTCCTAAAGAGGTGTTTTACGTGGTTACCTGTCAATCAAGAAATGCGAGACAATTCATAAAGAGGAACTGCTATGATTAGCTTCTTATTGGTGTCTCATCTTCTTCCAGGTAACCCAAGACACCTGCACGTTCTGATTGGGACCTCAGTGGTCATCATCCTCTTCATCCTCCTCCTCTTCTTTCTCCTTCATCGCTGGTGCTCCAACAAGAAAAGTAAGTCTCACGAAGGAGAGGCCAGAGAGCTCAGGGCCATGTGGGGAAGCAGGATGGGAGCACTCAGGTGTGTGTTCCTCACAGGTAGGATGGTCCCTGGCCCAAGGCAGCAGCCACAGAGGCAGGACTTTCTAGAGAGGGCACCAGACTCCCTGTCCCTGCTTTCAGCTCACAGACCGTTGCCTGATTCTGAACTGTATCCTCATGTCCCCTGCAGCCACTCACATCCAGGAGAAGGTTCCATGACAGGCAGAAAGTGGGAGACAGAATCAATGGGATGGGAACTCAGAGCTATTCATGGGATGGGTCCTTGAGCTCAGAGAGATAGAATGTCTGAGTCTGCTGTTGGCAACTGAGGGACCTCAGGCACCTATGGCCTCCCCCTGTTTGTTGGTATCTGCTTATGAAATGAGGACCCAGAAGTGCCCTCCGAGCTCTTTTGTTGACTTCCGTCTCCTACACATGCTGCTGTAATGGACCAAGAGCCTGCAGGGAACAGAACAGCGAATAGCGAGGTAGGTGCTCCTCGGCCCAGCCTCGTGGCTAGTGTTATTCCCAAACAGTCCTGGAAAACGTGAGCACCCTCCCTCACTCAGCATTTCCCTCTCTCCAGGACTCTGATGAACAAGACCCTCAGGAGGTGACATACGTACAGTTGGATCACTGCGTTTTCACACAGAGAAAAATCACTCGCCCTTCTCAGAGGCCCAAGACACCCCCAACAGATACCAGAGTGTACACGGAACTTCCAAATGCTGAGTCCAGATCCAAAGTTGTCTCCTGCCCATGAGCACCACAGTCAGGCCTTGAGGGGATCTTCTAGGGAGACAACAGCCCTGTCTCAAAACCGGGTTGCCAGCTCCCATGTACCAGCAGCTGGAATCTGAAGGCGTGAGTCTGCATCTTAGGGCATCGCTCTTCCTCACACCACAAATCTGAATGTGCCTCTCTCTTGCTTACAAATGTCTAAGGTCCCCACTGCCTGCTGGAGAGAAAACACACTCCTTTGCTTAGCCCACAATTCTCCATTTCACTTGACCCCTGCCCACCTCTCCAACCTTACTGGCTTACTTCCTAGTCTACTTGAGGCTGCAATCACACTGAGGAACTCACAGTTCCAAACATACAAGAGGCTCCCTCTTAACACGGCACTTAGACACGTCCTGTTCCACCTTCCCTCATGCTGTTCCACCTCCCCTCAGAGTATCTTTCAGCCTTCTGTCAGCAGTAAAACTTATATATTTTTTAAAATAATTTCAATGTAGTTTTCCCTCCTTCAAATAAACATGTCTGCCCTCATGGTTTCGGTAATGGGACTCTTTTCTTGCCTAAGACTTCCAGTGTTATCATTACCATGTCCACATAACCCCATCTGTTCTCCACTGGGTTCTCACCCCCGGACTCTGAGTTTCTGGAAGCAGGGTGGAGCCTCATTTGTCTCTGGGACTCCTATTTCCATCCAAAGATGTAGCACATAGGAGGTTCCAAGGATCGTGAATCACATGAACAAGTGATATTCTTACTCTCTGCAGACCTGGAAATCTGGCAGAGTCATTCCAAGATGAAACATTTGTAGAGTCATAGGCCTTGTTAGTCTCATCTACACAGGGACACATATCAACACATCATCTTTCACACTATAAATATACAGTCACTCCTCCATATCTGTGGGGTTTACAGTTCTTTATTGAACCGAGTATAAATCAAAAATATTCAGAGAAAGTATCCACAGAGTTACAAAAAGCAGAACTGTGTTGAATGGACACAAATGAAGCTGTGTGTAGGCTGCATCAGGAATTATAAGTAATCTAGAGATGATTTCATGTATACAGGAGGATGTGCATAGGTTATTTGCAAACTCTGTGCCATTTCATATAAGAGGCTTGAGCATCTACAGATTTTGGTATCTGAGTGGAGATCTCGAAACCAATCACCCAGGAATAGTGAAGGATGACCGTATATGACTTTTATTTCTCAAATTTAAATATAAATCATAAAAAATGTACAACTAGATAAAAACTAAGAAGTGTTTTTATAGTGTGAGTTAGATTTATTTTTTCCTAGGTATAACCCATTGGTTTAATATTATTTATTGAGAAGACATTCTATGCCACCTTAAACCACACGGCAGCCTTTGTCAACTCTAAAGGGACTGTGTGTACACGGATGTACTTTAGACACTGTTTCTGCTAAGGGGCTCTCTGTGTCCACACTCTTGATGATGCTGCACTTTATGTAGCCTTATAGAACCCTTTAAATTTAGTAGCCAGAGCTCTCTAATTTGTTATTATAGGCTATTTGCTTTTTTTTCTTGAGGCGGAGTCTTGCTCTGTCGCCCAGGCTGGACTGCAGTGACACAATCTCAGCTCACTGCAACTTCTGCCTCCCAGGTTCAAGCGATTCTCGTGCCTCAGCCTCTTGAGTAGCTGGCGTTACAGGTGCCTGCCACCAGGCACGGCTAATTTTTGGATTTTTAACAGAGACACGGTTTCACTATATTGGCCAGGCTGCTCTCAAACTCCTTATCTCAGTTGATCCGCCCACCTCGGCTTCCCAACGTGCTGGGGAAACTTGATTTTCTATAGCATTATGTTACTGGATATTTCTGTAAAATTTAAAATGAGGGAGGGAGAGAGACAGACGGAAAACAAACTCCAGAGTTGGGACTCTGGAATCTTGGGTCATGAGACAAATTTTAGATTAAACTACAAAACTCCAGAATTTACAGGTGGGGTTTTTACTGATAAAGTACAATTCTAAGATTGTAAATAATTGCATAATCCTTCCCTGGGAATTTAAATCATTTTAACTGGTTCTGCTGTAATACTAGAAATACAAGCATGAAAAATTCTAATGGTTTGTTAGTCACAATGACTCTGAAAACATTAATAATACCTATTAGATATTTTGCATATTACACAGGAAGAAGAGTTTGAATCTCAGATAAAAACAATAGAAATACATGAAAAGTCTTTCATGTTAGCACAGATTTTAGGCATCTCGTGTTCGGGAGGTTGGATCTCAGACGTGTTTTGAGTTGGTCATAGTGAAGGACACTAGGTGTCAAATTCTAGCGAGAACAATTTCCAGGAAGCCGTGTTCCGCTCTTGAGCGAGCACCCACTGGGCCTCATGCAAGGTAGAAAGAGCCTGCGTACGTCACCCTCCCATGATGTGGTCAACATGTAAACTGCATGGGCAGGGCGCCAAATAACATCCTGTGCGCTGCTGAGCTGAGCTCGGTCGCGGCTGCCTGTCTGCTCCGGCAGCACCATGTCGCTCTTGTTCGTCAGCATGGCGTGTGTTGGTGAGTCCTGGAAAGCAATAGAGGGAGGGAGTGAGGGGATGGAGATCTGGGCCCAGAGGTGGAGATATAGGCCTGGAGGTGGAGTTATGGGCCTGGAGTGGAGATCTGGGCCTGGAGTGGATATATGGGCCTAGAGATGGAGTGATGGGCCTAGAAGTGGAGATCTGGGCCCAGAGGTCGAGATATAGGCCTGGAGGTGGAGTGATGGGACTGTAGTGGAGATCTGGGCCTGGAGTGGAGATAGGAACCTGGAGGGGAGATAGGAACCTGGAGGGGAGATATGGGCCTGGAGGTGGAGATATGGGCCTGGAGTGGAGTCATGGGCCTGGAGGTGGAGTTACGGGCCTGCAGTAGAGATATGGGCCTGAAGTGGAGACATGGGCCTGGAGTGGAGATATGGGCCAGGAGTGGAGATATGGGCCTAGAGGTCGATATCTGGGCCTGGAGTGGAGATATGGGCCAGGAGTGGAGATATGGGCCTAGAGGTCGATATCTGGGCCTGGAGAGGAGATATGTGCCTAGGATGGAGATACGGGCCTGGGTGTGGAGATATGGGACTGGAGAGGATATATGGGCCTGGAGTGGAGATATGGGACTGGAGAGGAGATATGGACCTGGAGTGGAGATAAGGGCCTGGATTGGAGATATGGGCCCAGGGTGGAGATCTGAGCCTGGATTGGAGATATGGGCCTGGATTGGCGATATGGGCTTAGGGTGGAAATATCGGCCTGGAGTGGAGATATGGGCCTGGAGTGGAGATATGGGCTTGAGGTGGGGATATGGACCTGGAGGCTGGGTCTCTGCACAGCCGACAGCCCTGTTCTTGGGTGCAGGTAGGCACTGAGGGTGAGTTTACCTTCAGCCCAGGAAGGGCCTGGCTACCAAGACTCACAGCCCAGTGGGGGCAGCAAGGGTGCCCTGGTTTGCCTGCAGATGGGTCATCCATCATGATCTTTCTTTCCAGGGTTCTTCTTGCTGCAGGGGGCCTGGCCACATGAGGGTGAGTCCTTCTCCAAACCTTCGGGTGTCATCTCCCCACATAAGAGGATTTTCCTGAAATGGGAGGGAAGTCCTGTCAGGGAGTCTCTCATAAACTAGGAAGAAGGGACCCTGGGGTGCTGGGCCCACATTTCTGACCTTGCCTCCCTGGCCTTTCATTCCCTTGGCAGAGTCAAGTTCTGTGGGGACCAGGGTTAGACTACGGTGCTCAAAGCTGGGGTGTGTGGTGGGGAAGTGGTAGGAACAGCAGATCCTCTGAGGACAAAGGTGTTACTCACACACTTCAGCGTTTCCATGACGGTAGGGGCTGCAGTGTGGCTGCTGTCATTCCTACCAGAAGAGGTGGGAAACCACAGCCATGGCCCTGACATTCCAATCCTCTGATGGGGGACTCAGTTGTTATTTTCGTTCAGGCATCGCTGATATTCCATTCTCAAAGGACATGCCCTCCACCCCATGTCTACCCTGTGTTGTTTTATGTGAGTAATCTTACAGTATTAAAATCTAGTAGGAGTCTCTTACTCAGCACTTGCTCAAAGTTCTCAGCTGACACTTTTGTTGTAGGGAGACACCTTGTGTTTGCGGGATGGGTCCTTCCTTTAGCCCTGGGCACCAAGGTGTGATAGCAGCCATAGAAACTTGGAAAGCGAGGAGAATCTTCAGAGCACAGGGAGGGAGGGGCGGCTCCACATCCTCCTCTCTAAGGCGGTGCCTCCTTCTCCCCACGGTGGTCAGGACAAGCCCTTGCTGTCTGCCTGGCCCAAGCCTGTGGTGCCTCCAGGACATGTGATTCTTCAGGTGTCATTCTTATCTTGGGTTTAACAACTTCAGTCTGTAAAAGGAAGATGGGGTGCCTGGTCCCTGAGCTCTACAACATAATATTCTGGAACAGCCTTTTCATGGGCCCTGTGACCCCAGCACACAGCAGGGACGCTATACATGTCGGGGTTCACACCCACACTACCCCAGTGGGTGGTCGGCACCCAGCAACCCCTGGAGATCACGGCCACAGGTCAGAGGGCTCCTGTCTGGATTCTCCTTGTCCCACCTCCTGAATCCCAGAGCTTCTGGTGGGCGTGTCCTTGCGGGTCCCATCATGCAAGTCCTGACTGTATTTGGGGTAAAGGGGGATTGAATACAGGGAAATGGGTGCTGTGGTGGGAAGAATAATTGTCCCCAGTGATGACTACATTCTAATCCCTGGAGTCTGTGACTATTTATGATATAGGGGAAGGGACTGAAGGAGAAGATGGAGCTCAGGTTGTTGATGAGTTGACCTTGAGATGGGGAGACAGCCTGGACTGTCCTGATGGGCTCAGTGTAGTCACAGGGGTCCACATGAAAGGAGGAGGAAGAGGGGAGTGGGGATTACAGCAGCGCAATGGGAGACTCCACCAGCTTTGAAGGTGGAGGAAGTCCAGGAGCCATGAATGCAGGTGGCCTATAGAGGCTGGAAAAGTCAAGGAACTGATTCTCCTGAGTCTCCAGAGGGAACGAAGCCCTGCAGGTGCCTTGATTTTACCCACGACAAACAGGGTCCGATTTCTGTCTCCAGAATTGGAAGGGGTTAGTGTGCTCTCTCCTGGTGCCATGCTTCTGATAATTTTCTACAGCAGCAACAGGAAACCAACACTGGAACCCAGGTCAAGGACAAGTTAAGAAACAACACAAGGATAGCCAGGCATGGTGGCAGGTGCATGTAATCCTAGCGACTTGGGAGGCTGAGGGCAGGAGAATCACTTGAACCCAGGAGACAGAGGTTGCAGTGAGCCTAGACCACACCACTTCACTCCAGCCTGGGCAAAGGAGTGAGACTCTGTCGCCAAAATTAATTAATTAATTAAAGAAACCAAACAAGGAGAAGGTTGGCTACACTGAGATCAGCAAGGCTCAGATGATGATGCCACCACCAGGCTCCATCCACATAGGGAGCGGTTGATACTCCTCCAACCAGCACCAGGAGCCAGCCTATGGAAGCTGGCACTGGCATGGCAAGAGTGGCTCCCAGTCCCTACCAGGAACAGGGTGTGTGGCCACTGGTGCCTGCCTTACTGATCAGTTCATACCTCCTGCCAAGGATTCCAATTCGTCCAAAAGAGATTGAACCAGGCTGCTAAGAGCCTGGATGTGCAGCCTATCCTGGTTCCTCTTCCACCCCCACATAGACAGCAGGAAAGACATTAGTTCGAAATAGATACAACAGCCCAAGAGATGAGGCTGAGCCCAGCGGCAAGGGAATCAGAGGCTACTAGAGACAGAGGGACAGAGAAGAGTGAGGGAGACAGATGGAAGGACCTGCACCAGGAGTTATGGGCACAGAAAAGAACATGAAGACACAGAGAGGAAGGAGAGAGATAAGACACCAGGAAGGGGAAGCCTGACTCAATCCAGGTGCCATGGATGGGATGATAAAGAGAGACACCTTCTAAACTCACAACCTCTCTTCCTAGGAGTCCACAGAAAACCTTCCCTCCTGGCCCACCCAGGTCCCCTGGTGAAATCAGAAGAGACAGTCATCCTGCAATGTTGGTCAGATGTCATGTTTGAACACTTCCTTCTGCACAGAGAGGGGATGTTTAACGACACTTTGCGCCTCATTGGAGAACACCATGATGGGGTCTCCAAGGCCAACTTCTCCATCAGTCGCATGACGCAAGACCTGGCAGGGACCTACAGATGCTACGGTTCTGTTACTCACTCCCCCTATCAGGTGTCAGCTCCCAGTGACCCTCTGGACATCGTGATCATAGGTGAGAGTGTCCAGACTTTCTTCTCATTGTCATTGGGATGCAGAGTGAATGATCCAGGAATTGGAGACCCAGGTGGCTGTAAGGAAGATGAGCTTGGTATTCTTATGGAGAGAGACTGACTTGGTGAGGTCTGTGCCAACAGAGACAGAGAAACAGGAGACACAAGTACAGACCAGGTGTCATAACAGAGAACAGACACAGGGGCCATACCGGGAGTTAGAAAAGACAGAAAGAGTTAAAGGAGACACACAGACAGACATGTCCCAGAGAGAGGTGTCCCTCCATGCTGACTTTGCTCAGAGACCTGGCACAGGTTAGAAGTTTCATTTCTGTTTTACCTCCACAAAGTGTTCTCTACCAGGAGAACCCAAGGACACCCATATTTCTGACCTGAGTTGGGCCCTGTGGCCTCAGGCCTTGTGGCACCTACAGATGCCATGTTTATTCTGACACCTCTGCCTTCCATGTAATGGAGAGTAATCGTCCCAGGATATCATGGCCCCACAACACCAACCCCTGTATGCTGTGTGAACTTGTAGTCTCCAGACTGGATTCTGAGGCTCATATTCCAAATAAGCCCACTTATGAGAGGATCAGTGAGAGGCACAGAGAGAAATCAGGGACACCAAAAAGCAAAGACATAAACACACAGAGAATGAGCCAGAGGAAGGAGATTGAGAGACTCACAGACACATAAAGAGAGAGAAAAGAGGGCAGAGAAGTGAGAATGATGGAAGGGAGCAGAGAAAAGCACTAAAATTAGACTCCTGAGGGAGAGGCACAAGGACATTGAAAGATGGAGATGTGGGGATGAATTGCAGAGATTCCAAAGAGAACTAGAGAGACCGAGAGGCAGAGCAAGACAGATGATAGATGGATAGATATAGATAGATGATAAATAGGTAGATGATAGATAATAGGTTAAAGATACATAGATGATGATTGATTGATTCATTAATAGATGAGACATAGAGATGATGATGATGAAGACAGATAGATAATACATAGAGATAGAGAGGCAGACAGAAGTCATAGAGAGAGAGATGATACATAGATATAGATAACAGATGATTGATGGATAGATAGACAAGTGATAGATACATAGATGATATATAGACATAGATGACAGGTAGAGAATTTGTAGATAGGCACCGAATAGATAAATAGATAGATCGATAGATAATAGATAGAAATATGCAGAAAGTTATGAACAGGACACAAAGTGAGAAACTTAGAATTTAAAAAAGTAACATCAAGTCAACCAATCCAAGGAGAGTCAGAGAGAATAAAAGAATCCAAAAAGGGAAAACATATCTAGAGGTGTGGAAGCGAGGTCAGAGACCTAGAGAGACAGAGAAGGTGGAAGGAGGAAATAGACATGAAGAGAGATGGGGTGGAGGGTGAGAGACAGAGAGAGAGAGCATTAGGTCATAGAGCAGGGGAGTGAGTTCTCAGCTCAGGTGAAGGGAGCTGTGACAAGGAAGATCCTCCGTAAGGAAAATGCCTCTTCTCCTTCCAGGTCTATATGAGAAACCTTCTCTCTCAGCCCAGCCGGGCCCCACGGTTCTGGCAGGAGAGAGCGTGACCTTGTCCTGCAGCTCCCGGAGCTCCTATGACATGTACCATCTATCCAGGGAGGGGGAGGCCCATGAACGTAGGTTCTCCTGCAGGGCCCAAGGTCAACGGAACATTCCAGGCTGACTTTCCTCTGGGCCCTGCCACCCACGGAGGAACCTACAGATGCTTCGGCTCTTTCCGTGACTCTCCCTACGAGTGGTCAAACTCGAGTGACCCACTGCTTGTTTCTGTCACAGGTGAGGAAAGCCCATGGCTGTCCCATGTCCTATGATCCTAGAGCCTTAGCTGAGGAGCTTCCTGCTGAGGATGGAGAGAAGGCATGGAACAGATGCAGAGAGAAGACGAAGCCTGGGTGTGAGGGAGGGATCAGGGCACAGGATGGCAGACAGGGCACCTCCAAACCCTCCTACATGGCCTGCATGGAAGGCCTGCGGCCAGGGACTCCAGGCACCCAGGCAGATGGAGAAAGCGGTCAGGAGAGACCCAGAGGAGGGAGACTGGGCTCAGTTTGGGGAAGATCAGAGGTTCCCTCAGCCCCTCAACCATTACCCATTTCCCAGAAGCCCATCCTGGCCTCCCACCCACACAGGGATGTCATCACCTGCAACCCCTACACCCTTTACTTTTGTTTGAGAAATATTTATTGAGGATAAATATACCTATATAGCTTACCACCTTTAACATTTTTTTTTGAGGCGGAGTCTAGCTCTGTCCCCTATGCTGGAGTGCATTGGCACAATCTCAGCTCACTGCAACTTCCGCCTCCTGGGTTCAAGCGATTCTCCTTGCCTCAGCCACCTGAGTAGCTGGTGCTACAGGCGTGCACCACCATGCCAGGCTACTTTTTGTATTTTTAGTAGAGAGGTGGTTTCACCATGTTGGTCAAGCTGGTCTCGGAACTCCTGACCACGTGATCCATCCCGCATCAGCCTCCCAAAGTGCTGGGATTACAGGCATGAGCCACCAGGCCCAGCCACATTTACCATTTTTAAGTGTAAAGTCTAGTGGTCATAAATACATTTATATATATATATATATACATTTTTTTTTACCCTCCACCCTTTTCTTCCTGTCCTCCTGTAGCCACCATTCTACTCTCTACCTTCATGAGATCCACCTTTTAGCTCCTGTATATGGGTAAGAAATGGGAATCTTTGTAATGACCTCCAGTTCCATCCATGTGGCTGCAAATGATCAGGATGTTATTCTTTCTATGGAAGAGTAGTCTCCACTATGCGTATGTACCACATTCTCTCTATCCATTCACCCACTGATGGGCAGGTAGGTTGACTCCTCATCTTGGCTACTGTGAACAGTGCTGCACCAATCATACGAGTGCAGATATCACTTCGATATGTTGATTTACTTTCCTTTGGATATAAACCCAGTAGTGAAATTGCTGGATACTATGAAAGTTCTCTTTTTTTTTTTTTTTTTTTTTTGTTTTTGAGAACGAGTTTCCCTCCTGTAGCCCAAGCTGGAGTACAAAGTGGTGCAACCTTGGCTCATTGCAACCTCCTGCCTCCTGGGTTCAAATGATTTTCCTGCCTCAGCCTCCCTAGTAGCTAGGGATTACAGGCGCACGCCACCATGCCTGGCTACTTTTTGGTTTTTTTAGTATAGATGCGGTTTCCCCATGTTGGCTGGGCTGCTCTCAAACTCATGACCTCAACTGAGGTGCCCGCCTCAGGTCTCCCAAAGTGCCGGGATTACAGGCATGATCCACCTCACCCAACCTCTTTTTAGTTCTTTAAAGGACTTCCATACTTTTCTCCGTAATGGCTGTACTAATTTACACTCCTACCAACAGGGTACCAGGGTTCTCCTTTCTCTACCACCTTGCCAGCATTTCTTTTGCCTGTCTTGCAGCTAAAAGCCATTTTATTTTATTTCATTTTATTTTGAGATGGAGTTTTGCTCTTCTCACCCAGGCTGGAGTGCAGTGGCGCTATCTCGGCTCACCACAACCTCCACCTCCCAGGTTCAAGCGATTCTCCTGCCTCAGCCTCCCGAGTAGCTGGAATTACAGGCACACGCCACCACGCCCTACTAATTTTTGTATTTTTAGTAGAGACAGCGTTTCTCTATGTGGGTCAGACTGGTCTCAAACTCCCAACCTTATGAGATTCACCCACCTCAGGTTCTCAAAGTTCTAGGATGACACAAGTGAGCCACCTCACCCGGCCTAAAAGCCATTTTAATGGGGTGAGATGAAAACTCACTTTGATTTTAATTTGCGTTTCTCTGATGATGAGTGATACTGAGCACTTTTTCGTATGTGGGGAAATTTCATGTCTTTTGCTCCTTTTTCAATTAAATCATTTGTTTTATTGAGTTGTTTGAGCTTCTTATATTTCTAGTTATTAATCCCATCTCAGATGCATAGTTTGCACATATTTGCTCCCAATCTGTGGGTTGTCTCTTCACTTTGTTGGTTTATTTTTAGCAGTGCTGAAGTTGCTTAGTTTGAGGTAATCCCAATGGTCTATTTTTGCTTCGATTACTTGTGTTTTGAAGGTTTAAAACAAAATGTCTTCCTTCAGACAAACGTCCTGGAGCATTTCCCCAATATTTTGTTCTACGTGTTTCATAGGTTCAGGCCTTAGACTCACATCTTTAATCCATTTTCATTTGATTTTTGTGTATGGTGACAGGTAGAGTTGCAGTTTCATTCCTCTGCATGTAGATGTCCAGGTTTCCCTGCACTGTTTATTGAAAAGACTGTCCTTTCCTGATTGTGAGTTCTTGGCATCTTTGTCAAAGTCCATTGGATGGGCTGGGCTTGGTGGCTAACACCTGCAATTTCAGCACTTTGGGAGCCCGAGGTGGGTGGATCACCTGAGGCCAGGAGTTCAAGATTAGTCTGGCCAACGTGATGAAACATCGTCTCCACTAAAAATATAAAAATTAGCTGAGCATGGTGGTCAGCACCTGTAATACCACTACTCAGGAATTTGAGGCAAGAGAATGATTGAACCCAGGAGGCTGAGGTTGCAGTGAACCGAGATTGCACCTCTGCACTCCAGCCTGAGTGACAGAGCAAGACTCCATCTCAAAAGAAAAAATAAAAAACCATTGGATGTAAATGCATGGAATATATCTGTGTTATTCATTCTGCTCCGTTGTTCTATGTGCCTTTCTTTATGCCAATGTCATGCTATTTTGCTTACTACAGCTCTGTAACATATTTTGAGATCAGGTAGTGTGATGCTCCTGTTTTCTCTTTATATCTTGAAGTCTCAAGACAGTGGGTGTCATATAAAAAAATTATGGAAAAAAGGATCCCAGGACTCCCAGGGCCCAATATTAGATAAGAGAGTGTTGGCCATGAACCATCCTCAAAGATTTCCACTGAGTGGAGGACAGACACCCTCATTTCCTCACCTCTCTCCTGTCTCATGTTCTAGGAAACCCTTCAAATAGTTGGCCTTCACCCACTGAACCAAGCTCCAAAACCGGTGAGTACAGAACCCTCTTATATCCGCTTTTGGAACCCTGGGGAGGTGGGAACCTTGGATTCAGGCGTTGACTCAGCATCTCACAGCTCTGACATTGTACACTTGTCTTCCACCATCTCCGAACTCCAGATACTCCTACAGCGAAAGGGATCTGGGCCCAACACAGGGCTCAGTGAAATCTCTTCATCTCTCATTTTATGGAGCTGAGACCTCCTACAAGCTAGAAGAATGATTGCCAATCTGACATCCTTCTCAGGAAAAATGCAATGTTTGTTCTACCTGCATTCCTCACTGGAGGATAAATTCCTGGAGACTTGAGAGAGGGAAGGGAAGGGAACATCTGATGAGGGCAAGGTGTTTTAGAGAAGTTCCACTTGCCAAGGAATGAGCTCCTGTAGGTCATGAAGCAACCCTGGCTGACTCCGCAGAGAAAGAGCCTTGCCGTAACAGAGAACAGAGCTCATGCACGCACACTTCGACTCACTGACTCATTCAGCCACGGCCCCATGCTCAGGCTGTGCAGTGTGGAACCTTTTCCTATTGTTGCCATAACAAATTTCCACAAGATTCGTGGGTGAAAACAAAACGGTTTTTTAATTATCTTACAGTGCTGTAGCTCAAAGTAGGAAGTGCATCTTACTGGGCTAAAATCAAGGTGACAGCAAGGCTGCCTTCCCTCTGAGGATTCCAGGCACGAATCTGCTTCTCACTTGTCCCAGCTTCTAAAGGCTCCCAGTTCCTTGGCTCCTGGTCCCCTTCCTCCTTCCTCAAAGCCCACAAAGACTGGTCACATCTCACATGGCATCACTCAGTGCCTTCTTCCTTACCACACCTCTTTCTCTGAGTGCTGCTCTCCCTTCTTCCTCATCTTTTGAAAACTTGGGGATTCTATTGGGTTCACCAAGATGAAAATCCCTCATAATCTCCTGGAAATCATCCAGGATACCCTTGTTTTAAGTTCAGCTGATTAGCAACCATAATTCCATCTGCAATCTTCATTCCTCCTTTCCATGTAAAATAACATATTCACAAGCTGTGGAGGCTAGGACAGGGACATTTTGGGGTGGGACAGCATTCTCCTGCCTTCCACAAACAGTGAACAAGATGCATTTGGCCTCTGCCCTTGGGACACTGATATTGCAGATGGTTAAATGGGAGGGCAGAAAATGAACGCACAAGTGGATCTATAAATGAATGGTCCATTGGGAAGCATCTGTGCATGAAATCTATTTTTTGTTTGTTCTTTTGTTTATTGAGACAGAGTCGCCCTCTGTCTTCCAGGCTACAGTGCAGTGTCACGATCTTGGCTCACTGCAACCTGCGTCTCCTGGATTCAAGGGATTCTCCTGCCTCCGCCTCTCGAGTAGCTGGGATTACAGGCAACTGCCACCGTGCCCGGCTAATTCTTTTTGTATATTTTTTGTAGAGAGGATGTTTCACCACGTTGGCCAAGCTTGTCTGAAACTCCCAACCTCAAGTGATCCGACCGTCTCAGCATGCCAAAGTAATGGGACTACAGGCGTGAGCCACTGTGCCCAGCCAGAATTCAAAATCAATAATAGATAATGCTGAGTGTATGATTTCAGGTGACAAAGAAGGTCTCACTATTCAGATATTTGTGACATTAATGAAAAACACGGAATGAACCCCTGAAAGATTGGCGGAAGGATTTTGCACACACAGCTGTCAGCCATGAAGGCACAAAGGTGAAAACAATCTGATGTGGAAGGAAGAGGCTCTGACTCAAATGCTGGGAATGAGGTGGGGAGAATGACAAGACGACTGTAGAGAGACGGAGAGCACACTGGGTACACAGGAAACTAAGGAGGAACAAGGAGTGTGTGCTTGACACTCACAGCCATTGGATTCACCTCGGGGTAACCAGGAATCCCTACATGATTAATATGACTGACATGAAAATAAGGGAGGCCCAGGTGCATAACTGGAATCTAGGAGACCGTGGAAAAGGCAATTGCCGCCCCACTGGTGAAATGTGGTGCTGATTTAGACACTAAATGAATGAAGTAGATGGATATAAGATATGTTTGTGAGGTAGAATCATTGACTGGAAAGGCTTACTGGGTTTGATTTTCCTACTTGTTTAATCCTCACTTAATTAATTTCTTTCTGAGATTTATTCATCCTACACATAAATCAATACCTGGCAAAGGAGTGACAGATATATGAGTGGTGGTGGAAATGAAGAGACTTATTATAGCATAATATACAAGTCTGTGAACAGTGGCTCACACCTGTAACCTAGCACTGCAGGAGGCCAAGGTGGGTGGATTCCATGAAGTCAGGAGTTCCAGACCAGCCTGGCCAACGTGGTGAAACCCTATCTCTACTAAAAATACAAAAATTAGCCGAGCACGATGGTGCATCCCTGTAATCCCAGCTCCTATTCTGGAGGATGAAGCAGGAGAATGACTTCAACCCAGTAGGTGGAGGTTGCAGTGAGTGGAGATTGCATCACTGCACTCCAGCCTGGGGGACACAAGGAGACTCTATCTCAAAAAATAAAAATAAGAAATACATAAATATAATAAAACACACACGAATGACAAAGGCACCTGAATTCCAATCATGATTTTTCTATTTCTCTATAATTACTTCTTTGATCCTTTATCTTATCCATTAGGCAATGAGCCTAAAACCTCTTCCCTATTTGGCTTTCTGTGAGCATGAGATCATATAGAAAATGTGAAAGCCCGCTGAATCCTCCAGCACAGATCCTGGAATAGAGAAAGTGCTCTGGTCATCACAAAAAAAACTTGCCCACTCACCCAAATCCCCCACCTCACCCCTACTTCCAATCACCTGTGGAGATTCAGATAGACCATGGGGAGGTAAACATTAACACTCCTTGGAGTGAGTCCAGATCTTGGAATCAGAGATCAGCGACAGCACTAGCTCCTGCTCCCCTTTCCTACTAATTCACAGGAGGACAGGTGGTTTTGAAGCAATAGATGGCCGAGGGGGTGGTCCTTCCCCCAGCCTCTCGGGTAGAACAGCAGCCTAATATGTGTCTCCCGAGATCACAAAGAGCAGCAGGTTTCACACGGGCTTCAACACTATTTCCTGGCCGTTTGACATAAGAGAATTCTATTTCGCTTTTTTTATCTTGATTTCACTTTTGTTTTCTTTCCTTGGAGAATGCAAGTTGTTTGATTCAAGAATGCTGTGGATGTAGAAACCCTAAAGCACATTCGCTGTGAATCAATCCCAGTCCAGTCTTCCCAGAGAAGACTCTAAACACCTCCTGGACTGCACCTGGGCCTATGCCAATTCCTATCACTCACCGTCACTCCAGGGAGACAGAACACACAGAGAATACGTTACATAGGCAGGTTCATTACTAACAGATAAGCAGCGAGTGACAACAGAAACCTATATTTCAATGTGACCCAGTCCCTCAAGGCTCAGAAAAGCTGCTCGGGACATATGGAGTCACCCCATTTGCAGTGTAGCTGGGGGAAGCCAGAAAGCAGCCCAGCCTGGGTTTTGTACCCTGGAGCCACAGGAAGCACTCAGCTAAAGCACTGCATGACGTCCTCCAGGAAGAACAGGAAGACAGCCCAGGGTGTTCTGAGACGTTCCTCCTGATCTCAGGAAGTTGCTGTCTTAGGCCATTTTTGTTGCTCTAAAGGAACACTTGAGCCTCGGTAACTTCTAAAGAAAAGAGATTGGTTTGCCTCACCGTTCTGCAGGCTGTACTGGAAGCATGGCACCAGCATCTATTTCTCGTGACGGCCTCAGGCTGCTCCCACTCTGGCAGAAGGGAAGGAGGGTCTGTCTGTGCAGAGACCACAGAGATCACACGGCAAGAGAGGGAGCAAGGGGGAGGGGGAGTGATGGAGCTTCCAAGCTCTTTTTAACAACCAGCTCTCCGGGAACTAATAGAGGGGGAACTTGCTAACCCCGTCTCCTTGGGACAGCATTGATGTGTTCATGATGGATCCACCTCCATGACCCAAACACCTCTCAAGAGGCCCAACCTCCCACAGTGGGGGTGAAATTTCAATGTGAGGTTTGAAGGGGTCAAACATCTCAACTAAAGTAGTCGTATCCTCAGCACGTTCTATGGTTACTATGAGAGCTATAACTGAAAAAGCAGGAGAAAGCTGGGTCTCCTGCCATCTGGGTGCTTGTCCTAAAGAGGTGTTTTATGTGGTTACCTGTCAATCAAGAAATGCGAGACAATTCATAAAGAGGAACTGCTAAGATTAGCTTCTTATTGGTGTCTCATCTTCTTCCAGGTAACCCCCGACACCTGCACATTCTGATTGGGACCTCAGTGGTCATCATCCTCTTCATCCTCCTCTTCTTTCTCCTTCATCGCTGGTGCTCCAACAAAAAAAGTAAGTCTCACGAAGCAGAGGCCAGAGAGCTCAGGGCCATGTGGGGAAGCAGGATGGGAGCACTCAGGTGTGTGTTCCTCACAAACAGGATGGTCCCTGGCCCAAGGCAGCAGCCACAGAGGCAGGACTTTCTAGAGAGGGCACCAGACTCCCTGTCCCTGCCTTCAACTCACAGACCGTTGCCTGATTCTGAACTGTATCCTCATGTCCCCTGCAGCCACTCACATCCAGGAGAAGGTTCCATGACAGGCAGAAAGTGGGAGACAGAATCAATGGGATGGGAACTCAGAGCTATTCATGGGATGGGTCCTTGAGCTCAGAGAGATAGAATGTCTGAGTCTGCTGTTGGCAACTGAGGGACCTCAGCCACCTATGGTCTCCCCCTGTATGTTGGTATCTGCTTATGAAATGAGGACCCAGAAGTGCCCTCCGAGCTGTTTTGTTGACTTCCGTCTTCTACAGATGCTGCGGTAATGGACCAAGAGTCTGCAGGAAACAGAACAGCGAATAGCGAGGTAGGTACTCCTCGGCCCGGGCTCGTGGCTACTGTTATTCCCAAAGAGTCCTGGAAAATGTGAGCACCCTCCCTCACTCAGCATTTCCCTCTCTCCAGGACTCTGATGAACAAGACCCTCAGGAGGTGACATACACACAGTTGAATCACTGCGTTTTCACACAGAGAAAAATCACTCGCCCTTCTCAGAGGCCCAAGACACCCCCAACAGATATCATCGTGTACACGGAACTTCCAAATGCTGAGTCCAGATCCAAAGTTGTCTCCTGCCCATGAGCACCACAGTCAGGCCTTGAGGGCGTCTTCTAGGGAGACAACAGCCCTGTCTCAAAACCGGGTTGCCAGCTCCCATGTACCAGCAGCTGGAATCTGAAGGCATGAGTCTGCATCTTAGGGCATCGATCTTCCTCACACCACAAATCTGAATGTGCCTCTCACTTGCTTACAAATGTCTAAGGTCCCCACTGCCTGCTGGAGAAAAAACACACTCCTTTGCTTAGCCCACAGTTCTCCATTTCACTTGACCCCTGCCCACCTCTCCAACCTAACTGGCTTACTTCCTAGTCTACTTGAGGCTGCAATCACACTGAGGAACTCACAATTCCAAACATACAAGAGGCTCCCTCTTAACGCAGCACTTAGACACGTGTTGTTCCACCTTCCCTCATGCTGTTCCACCTCCCCTCAGACTAGCTTTCAGTCTTCTGTCAGCAGTAAAACTTATATATTTTTTAAAATAACTTCAATGTAGTTTTCCATCCTTCAAATAAACATGTCTGCCCCCATGGTTTCGGTAATGGGACTCTTTTCTTGCCTAAGGCTTCCGGTGTTATCAGTACCATGTCCATATAATCCCATCTGTTCCCCACTGAGTTCTCATCCCCGGACTCTGAGTTTCTGGAAGCAGGGTGGAGCCTCATTTGTCTCTGGGACTCCAATTTCCATCCAAAGATGTAGCACATAGGAGGTTCCAAGGATCACGAATCATATGAACAAGTGATACTCTTACTCTCTGCAGACCTGGAAAGCTGGCAGAGTCATTCCACAATGAAACATTTGTAGAATCATAGGCCTTGTTAGTCTCATCTCCATGGGGACACATATCAACACATCATCTTTCATAATATAAATATACGGTCACTCCTCCATATCTGCGGGGTTTACAGGTGTTTATTGAACCAAGTATAAATCAAAAATATTGAGAGAAAGTATCCACAGAGTTTCAAAAAGCATAACTATGTTGAATGGACACAAATGAAGCTGTGTGTAGGCTGTATCAGGAATTATAAGTAATCTAGAGATGATTTCATGTATACAGGAGGATGTGCATAGGTTATTTGCAAACGCTGTGCCATTTCATATAAGAGGCTTGAGCATCTACAGATTTTGGTATCTGAGTGGAGATCTCAAAACCAATCACCCACGAATAGTGAAGGATGACCGTATATGACTTTTATTTCTCAAATTTAAATATAAATCATAAAAAATGTACAACTAGATAAAAACTAAGAAGTGTTTTTATAGTGTGAGTTAGATTTATTTTTTCCTAGGTGTAACCAATTGGTTTAATATTATTTATTGAGAAGACATTCTATGCCACCTTAAACCACACGGCAGCCTTTGTCAACTCTAAAGGGACTGTGTGTACATGGATGTATTTTAGACACTGTTTCTGCTAAGGGGCTCTCTGTGTCCACACTCTTGATGATGCTGCACTTTATGTAGCCTTATAGAACCCTTTAAATTTAGTAGCCAGAGCCCTCTAATTTGTTATTATAGGCTGTTTGCTTTTTTTTTCTTGAGGCGGAGTCTTGCTCTGTCGCCCAGGCTGGACTGCAGTGGCACAATCTCAGCTCACTGCAACCTCCGCCTCCCAGGTTCAAGCGATTCTCGTGCCTCAGCCTCTTGAGTAGCTGGCGTTACAGGTGCCTGCCACCAGGCACGGCTAATTTTTGGATTTTTAACAGAGACACGGTTTCACTATATTGGCCAGGCTGCTCTCAAACTCCTTATCTCAGTTGATCCGCCCACCTCGGCTTCCCAACGTGCTGGGGAAAACTTGATTTTCTATAGCATTATGTTACTGGATATTTCTGTAAAATTTAAAACGAGGGAGGGAGAGAGACAGACAGAGAGCAAACTCCAGAGTTGGGACTCTGGAATCTTGGGTCATGAGACAAATTTTAGATTAAACTACAAAACTCCAGAATTTACAGGTGTGGTTTTTGCTGATAAAGTACAATTCTAAGATTGTAAATAATTGCATAATCCTTCCCTGGGAATTTAAATCATTTTAGCTGGTTCTGCTGTAATACTAGAAATACAAGCATGAAAAATTCTAATGGTTTATTAGTCACAATGACTCCGAAAACATTAATAATACCTATTAGATACTTTGCATATTACACAGGAAGAAGAGTTTGAATCTCAGATAAAAACAAAAAAAATACATGAAAAGTCTTTCATGTTAGCACAGATTTTAGGCATCTCGTGTTCGGATAAAAATACATGAAAAGTCTTTCACGTTAGCACAGATTTTAGGCATCTTGTGTTCGGGAGGTTGGATCTGAGACGTGTTGTGAGTTGGTCATAGTGAAGGACGTGAGGTGCCAATTCTAGTGAGAACAAGGTACGTCAGCCAGAAGCGTGTCGCAAGCATCCCTCTCAGGTAGGCCGCTGTCACTATGAGTAGCCTGTACGCATGGCCGTAAGGCGCGCGGCCTCGGCCTGTCTGGCACCCGGGCAGCACCATGTCGCTCATGGTCGTCAGCATGGCGTGTGTTGGTGAGTCCTGGAAAGGAATAGAGGGAGGGAGTGCCACATCCTCCTCTCTAAGGTGGCGCCTCCTTCTCCCCCAGGTGGTCAGGACAAGCCCTTCCTCTCTGCCTGGCCCAGCCCTGTGGTGTCTGAAGGAGAACATGTGGCTCTTCAGTGTCGCTCTCGTCTTGGGTTTAACGAATTCAGTCTGTCCAAAGAAGACGGGATGCCTGTCCCTGAGCTCTACAACAGAGTATTCCGAAACACCGTTTTCATAGGCCCTGTGACCCCAGCACATGCAGGGACCTACAGATGTCGGGGTTCACACCCACACTTCCTCACTGGGTGGTCAGCACCCAGCAACCCCCTGGTGATCATGGTCACAGGTCAGAGGGCTCCTGTCTGGGATTCTCCTTGTCCCACCTCCTGAGTCCCAGAGCTTCTGGTGGGAGTGTCCACCAGCGTCCCATCATCCAGACCCTAACTGTATTTGGGGTAAAAGGGGATTGAATACAGGGAAATGGGTGCTGTGGTGGAAAGAATAATTGTCCCCAATGATGACTGCATTCTAATCCCTGCAGTCTGTGACTATTTATGTTATAGGGGAAGGCACTGAAGGGGAAGATGGAGCTCAGGTTGTTGAGTTGACCTTGAGATGGGGAGACAGCCTGGACTGTCCTGCTGGGCTCAGTGTAATCACAAGGGTGCACATGAGAGGAGAAGGAAGAGGGGAGTGGCGATTAGAGCAGTGCAATGGAAGTCTCCATCAGCTTTGAAGGTGGAGGAAGGCCATGAGCCATGAATGCAGGTGGCCTATAGAGGCTGGAAAAGTCAAGGAACTGATTCTCCTGGGTCTCCAGAGGGAACGCAGCCCTGCAGATGCCTTGATTTTAGCCCTCAAAAAACAGGGTCCGATTTCTGTCTCCAGAAACGGAAGGGGTCAGTGTGCTCTCTCCTGCTGCCATGCTTCTGATAATTTTCCACAGCACCAACAGGAAACCAACACTGGAACCCAGGTCAAGGACAAGATAAGAAAGGACACAAGGATAGCCGGGCGTGGTGGCAGGTGCATGTAATCCTAGCAACTCAGGAGGCTGAGGGCAGGAGAATCACTTGAACCCAGGAGACAGAGGTTGCAGTGAGCCTAGACCACACCACTTCACTCCAGCCTGGGTGAAGGAGTGAGACTCTGACTCCAAAATTAATTAATTAATTAAAGAAACCAAACAAAGAGAAGGTTGGCTACACCGAGATCAGCAAGGGTGGGATGATGATGCCACCACCAGGCTCCATCCACATAGGGAGGGGTTGATACTCCTCAAACCAGCACCAGAAGCCAGCCTATGGAAGCTGGCACCATGGAGAAGGCACAGGCATGGCAAGAGTGGCTCCCAGTCCCCACCAGGAACAGGGTGTGTGGACACTGGTGCCTGCCTTACTGATCAGTTCATACCTTCTGCCAAGGATTCCAAATCGTCCAAAAGAGATTGAACCAGTCTGCTAAGAGCCTGGACGTGCAGCCTATCCTGGTTCCTCTTCCACCCCCACATAGAAGCAGGAAAGACATTAGTTCGAAATAGATACAACAGCCCAAGAGATGAGGCTGAGCCCAGCGGCAAGGGAATCAGGAGCTACTAGAGACAGAGGGACAGAGAAGAGGGAGGGAGACAGATGGAAGGACCTGTACCAGGAGTTATGGGCACAGAAAAGAACATGAAGACACAGAGAGGAAGGAGAGAGATAAGACACCAGCGAGGGGAAGCCTCACTCATTCTAGGTGCCATGGATGGGATGATAAAGAGAGATGCCTTCTAAAGTCACAACCTCTCTTCCTAGGAGTCCACAGAAAACCTTCCCTCCTGGCCCACCCAGGTCCCCTGGTGAAATCAGAAGAGACAGTCATCCTGCAATGTTGGTCAGATGTCATGTTTGAGCACTTCCTTCTGCACAGAGAGGGGACGTTTAATGACACTTTGCGCCTCACTGGAGAGCTCCATGATGGGGTCTCCAAGGCCAACTTCTCCATCGGTCGCATGACGCAAGACCTTGCAGGGACCTACAGATGCTACGGTTCTGTTCCTCATTCCCCCTATCAGTTGTCAGCTCCCAGTGACCCTCTGGACATCGTGATTACAGGTGAGAGTGTCTGGACATTATTCTCATTGTCACTGGGACACAGAGTGAATGATCCACGACTTGGAGGCCCAGGTGGTTATAAGGAAGATGAGCTTGGTATTCTTATGGAGAGAGACTAACTTGGTGAGGTCTGTACCAACAGAGACAGAGAAACAGGAGACACAAGTACAGACCAGGTGTCATAACAGAGGACAGACACAGGGGCCATACAGGGAGTTAGAAAAGACAGAAAGAGTTAAAGGAGACACAGACAGACATGTGCCAGAGAGAGGTGTCCTTCCATGCTGACTTTGCTCAGAGACCTGGCACAGGTTAGAAGTTTCATTTCTGTTTTACTTCCACAAAGTGTTCTCTACCAGAAGAACCCAAGGACACCCATATTTCTGGCCTGAGTTGGGCCCTGTGGCCTCAGGCCTTCTGGCACCTACAGATGCCGTGTTTATTCTGACACCTCTGCCTTCCATGCAATGGAGAGTAATCGTCCCAGGATATCATGGCCCCAGAACATCAACCCCTGTATACTGTGTGAACTTGCGGTCCCCAGACTGGATTCTGAGGCTCACATTCCAAATAACCCCACATATGAGAGGATCACTGAGAGACACAGAGAGAAATCAGGGACACCAAAAAGCAAAGACATAAACACACAGAGAATGAGCCAGAGGAAGGAGATTGAGAGACTCACAGACACATAAAGAGGGAGAAAAGAGGGCAGAGAAGTGGAGAGAACAATGGAAGGGAACAGAGAAAAGCACTAAAATTAGAGTCCTGAGGGAGAGACACAAGGACATAGAAAGATGGAGATGTGGGGATGAATTGCAGAGATTCCAAAGAGAACTAGAGAGACCGAGAGGCAGAGCAAGACAGATGATAGATGGATAGATATAGATAGATGATAAATAGGTAGATGATAGATAATAGGTTAAAGATACATAGATGATGATTGATTCATTCATTGATTAATCGATGATACATAGAGATGATGAAGATGAAGATAGATAGATAATACATAGAGATAGAGAGGCAGACAAAGAGAAATCATAGAGAGAGAGAGACGATACATAGATATAGATAATAGATGATTTTTGGATAGACAATTGATAGATAAATAGATTATATATAGATATAGATGACAGGTAGAGAATTTGTAGATAGGCACCAAATAGATAAATAGATATATCGATAGATAATAGATAGAAATATGCAGAAAGTTATGAACAGGACACAAAGTGAGAAACTCAGAATTTAAAAAAAGTAACATCAAGTCAACTAGTCCAAGGAGAGTCAGAGAGAATAAAACAATCCAAAAAGGGAAAACATATCTAGAGGTGAGAAAGTGAGGTCAGAGACCTAGAGAGACAGAGAAGGTGGAAAGAGGAAATAGACATAAAGAGAGATGGTGTGGAGGGTGAGACAGAGAGAGAGAGCATTAGGCCATAGAGCAGGGGAGTGAGTTCTCAGCTCAGGTGGGAGGGGAGTTGTGACAAGGAAGAACCTCCCTGAGGAAACTGCCTCTTCTCCTTCCAGGTCTATGTGGGAAACCTTCTCTCTCAGCCCAGCCGCGCCCCATGGTTAAGGCAGGAGAGAGCGTGACCTTGTCCTGCAGCTCCCGGAGCTCCTATGACATCTACCATCTATCAAGGGAGGGGGAGGCTCATGAACTTAGGTTCCCTGCAGTGCCCAAGGTCAATGGAACCTTCCAGGCCAACTTTCCTCTGGGCCCTGCCACCCACGGAGGGACCTACAGATGCTTCGGCTCTTTCCGTGACTCTCCCTACGAGTGGTCAGACCTTAGTGACCCACTGCTTGTTTCTGTCACAGGTGAGGAAACCAGTCTGTTCCCCAAATAGTGGGACTCAGATGGACTACAATGGCCACATTCAGGGGAGCCTCAGATGGAGGGGGTGGCCATGGGGGTGTCAGCCAGAGATGCTGGACAGAAGAGACACAAAGCAAACATACAGAAAGAGGCATAGACAGACAGACAGAGCGAGGCAGACAGATCACATTAGGGTTTGGGGTGGTAACTGCAACCCTACCTGAAGCTTGCAGATAGAGCACAGGCCACATAAACCACTTCCCAGTCTTTGTACAGAAGCCCACCTGGGACACATGTAAACAGCATCAATGCTGACTCAGGAGCATGAAAGGCCGGGCTCAGATTGGAAAGACTAGAGGTAGCATTGGCCGCCCGCCATTGCCCATTTCCAGAAGCCCCCACCTCTCACCAAAGAGTGATTTCCACATGGGGGGCACAGATGCAACCATCGTTGGGGGAGCCCCAATGTCTCTTGATGGGAGGCATTTTCCACCCTAGATGTTTTTTGCTCTCTCCACACCTTGGAGACTCAGTGGGGGAGTCTTCTCTGGGGACTCGGGGAGGGCCTCCCTGGGACTCGCAGGATTTCCAAGCTAGATGACAACATGACAGGTGGAAACAGGCCCATTCCTTCGCCAGGGGCCCCAAGCTCCATCCCAGGAGATGAGAAGAGGCTCTTCTCATTGGTCAGTGGATCCCTGAGGGGACAGAGGCTCAGCACTGAAGGCTGAGAAGGATCTGCCACTTCGCTCAGTGGCCTCAAGCCAGACATCTTCCCTACAGACTTGCAGTGATTCTCCATCAGCATTTAGGGCTGTGGCCACCAACCTGGGTGTTGGTCTGTAGGAACTTTTCATTTCTGACCTTCCATAACTGAGTTCTCTTCCTAAATGTGGAATGCCTTGTACTCCATGTTACTCTCTCCCCAGAAAGAATGTGTGGCTTGTCTGCTCTCCAGCCCTGTCATGGAGATTGATAATCCTTAGGGAGCAAGAGGAGAGGGAAAGAACAAAGTATGAGACCACCTAGGTGCTACTGGTTGAGGTTCCATTTGCCAGTGAAGGGACTTCACTCAGCCGAGGGGGCAACTCAGGGAAGTCAGCCGAGGGAGGGCATTAGAGTAGAGAGAACTGAGCTCACCCAGTAAATGACCCCTTCACTAACTCATTCATCTAATATTTATTTCACACCTACCATCAGTTCTCTCTGTTTCATGGCCAGGAGTAGACAGCACGGCCAAGCTCCTGGGTTCATGATGCTCACATTGCTGTGGGGTGGGAGAGAGAGGCAGAACATGAATGAATGAATGAGAGAATGAATGAATGAGTGAATGATGGAATGAGTGAATGAATGAATGAATGAATGTATGAATTAGTGAGTGAATCCTTAGCACTTGGTGAAAGTGCCATGCACAGAATGAAATGAATGAACGTGGAACGTTGTCATTTGGAGTGTACAGGAGGGAACGTCTCACTGAGACCTCATCAGAGAGATCACATTTAAACTCCGATCTTAGAGACAAGAGGGAGTGAGCCCTGGGGAGTGTGTTGAAAGGAACTTTCATGGACTTAGGACATTGGGGATGACCCTAATGTGAGAATGAGCTTGGTGTGTTCCAAGAAGTCCATGGACCTGCCATATGGTGAGGGCTGGTCAGAATCCAGAGAGATTTCTAAATGCCCTTGTGCTTGTAAGGAAAGTGAGTCCTGTGGTTGGGAGTGGACTTATACCTTGGGTCAGGTCCAGCAATTATCTTTCTAAATCCTCTCTAATTGCCTGAACCACTTCTATCAACAACTGAGAAAAGAGGAGTGTTAAACACCCCACTGTGGCCGTGGATTTGCCTACCTGTCCATTTATTTCCGCGACTCTTCCTCCATGTATATTTGCAGGAATATTACTGGGAGTGGTTAAGTGTAAACTGATTATATATTCCTGGTAAATTTAAAATGCTATAAATTTACCTGCTTTTTTCCTACATTTTATGCTTAATGTTTTCCGCTGATTTTTCCCAAAGACTAATTTTGTCTAATTTTAATATAGTTATACCACATTTCTAACAGTGATTGCTTGGTATATTTCTACATTGTTTAATTTCAAACTCCATGAATTGTTAACATTGAGATGTGTCCTTTGTAAATTTCAAACAATTCGCCTTAGAAAGTAAGACTTTCTGACAATCTTTTGTTCATGTTTGAGCAGTTCTTCCAATCATATTTTTGTTATTATTACGTTGTGTTTTCCTGATTCCCTTTTTTTCCCACTGACTTCTGTGGTTTTCTATTTCAAACATTCTATTTTTGATCTATGTCGTTTAGGAATACATATATGGTGTACTCATCCTGAAGTTGTTACATATTTTTAAAATTGAAATTAATCATTTCAGAGATTAAACTGCAAATATAAAAACATATTTCCACTCTTCCTGTGTAAGAACAGGATTTTAGAGCATATTTAGTACATATGTTTGTATTTACTTATATGATGTTTTGTTTTGTGGTATACATAATTCTATCTTTTTCAGAAATTACACAGGGGCGTGTTTTCATACACTATCGTATGGTCCATATTCATTTTTGGCATAGCCATATTTTTAGTTCTTCCTCTGCTCTTAGTTATTGTCAGAATCTTCGACACCCCATCTGGTTTCACTTTCTTTATCTTTGAGGCACGGTCATCAGAATTTCCTTTAGGGTCAGTGAGAAAAGCTTTCTTTGCCCTTTTGTCTTTCAGTTCTGTTTCTTTCCTGCGTTGATCTTGGACAGTAACTGTACTATGTAAGGAATTGTCGGTGGCTGGCGACGGTATCTTAGCTGGGTAAAGATGCTATTCTACTGGCTTATGTTTTCCTTTTTTCTGTGGGGAAGACAATGCTTGGCTCCCTATAAATCCTTACCAGCTGATCCTTTTCCTCTGGCTAATTTTAAGGGTTGGTTGTGCTTTTATGCTGCTTTTCTGTAATGTTGAACGTGAGGTGTGTTTACTTCATTCTGCCTGGCATTCACTGGATTTCTTGAACCTGTGGATTGATGGATGTGTCTACTTCCTCCAAATAATCAACAATTGCCTCTTTAAAGATTGCTTCTGACCTGTTTTCTCGTTCTTTCTTTTTGGAACTCAAGTTAGGAGCATTCTAAAACTGTTGTCAATTTTTACCCTGTCACAAAACTGCTCTTTCTTGTTTCAGTTATTTGCTTTTTCTGTGCATTAATATTGATGGTTTCCTCTGTCATAGAGGATAAATACTCTCTTCACTGTTGTGTACACAACATTTTAACTAGTTATTCTGGTTTAAATTTAATATTGACTTTATCTACATATCACAATTGATTACTGTGTACAGACTTTCTTTTCTATTAGTATAAATTTATGAGGTACACTTGTAATTTTGTGACATGAGTATGTTGCAGAGTAGTGAAGTCAGGACTTTTACTATATCCATCACCCAAATACCGTACATTGTACTCATTAAGCAAATTCTCATCACTCACCCACGTCCCGCCACCCTCCAGCCTTCTAGCCTCCGCTGTCCGTCATTCCACACTCTACGTCCATATGTACACATTACTCCCCTCCCATGTAGAGTGAGAAGATGTGGTATTTGTCTTTCTGAGTGGTTTTATGTAAAATAATGGCGTCCAGCTCCATCTATGTTGCTGCAAAAGACATGGTTTTATTTTTATGACCAAATAGTATTTCGTTGTGTATACACGCATCCTTTTTTTAATCCAATCATTCATTCACAGACACTTAGATTGATTTCATATCTTTGCTATTGCAAACAGTGCTGCAATAAACATACAGGTGCAGGTATTTTTTGAGTAGATACCCAGCAGCGGGACCCCTAGATCGAATGGTGCTTCTATTTTTGGTTCTCTGCCAAATTTCCATACTGTCTTCCATAGAGGCTATACTAATTTACATACCGGCCAACAGTGTATAAGAGTTTCCTTTTCTCTGCATCCTTGCCAACACCTGTTATATGTTTCACTTTTTCTTTTTTTCTTTTTGAGATGGAGTCTTCCACTGTCACCCAGGCTGGAGTGCAGTGCCGCCATCTCCACGCGCTGCAACCTCCACCAACCAGGTTCAAATGATTCTCCTGCCTCAGCCTCCTGAGTAGCTGGGATTACAGAACCACACCACCATGCCCAGCTAATCTTTTGTATATTTAGTAGAGATGGGGTTTCACTATGTTGGTCAGGCTGGTCTCAAACTCCTGACCTCATGATCCACCCGCCTCAGCTTCCCAAAGTGCTGGGATTACAAGCGTGAGCCACCACTCCCCACCAGCATTTTTAGTAATAGCCATTCTGACTACTGTAAGATGATATCTCATTGTGGTTTCAATTTGCATTTCTCTGATGATTAGTGATGTTCATACGCTGTTTGGCCATTCGTATGTCTTCTTTTGAAAAATGTCTATGTATATCCCTTTGCCCACTTTTTAATGCTATTATTTGAGGGGTTATGTTTAGTTGTTTGAGTTGCCTAGAAATTCTGGATGTTAGTCCTCTGTTGGGTGCATAGTTTGCAAACATTTCCATTCATTCTGTGGGTTGTCTGTTCACCCTGCTACTATTTCCTTTGCTTGGCAGAAGCTCTTTCGTTTATTAAGTCCCATTGGTCTAGTTTTATTTTTATTGCCTGTGCTTTTGAGGTCTTAGTGATGAATTCTTTGCCCAGACCAATGCCCAGAAGAGTTTCTCTTTGGGTTTCCACCGGTGATTTTATAGTTCTGGATTTACATTTAAGCTGCTAATTACCTTAAGTTAATTTATGTGTATGATTACAGATACAGGTCCAGTTTTATTCTTCTGCATATGGCTATTTAGTTTTCCCAGCACCTTTTATTGAAAAGGAAATCTTTCTCCAGTGTATGTTTTGTTAACGTCGTCAATGATTATTCACTGTAGATATGAGGCTGTATTTCTGGGCTCTCTATTCTGGTCTATTGATCTCTGTTTCTGTGTCTATACCAGCACTGTGCTATTTAAGTTACTATAGCCTTAGAGCATAGTTTGAAGTCAGATAGCGTGATGCCTCCAGGTTTCTACATTCACCTAGAATTGCTTTCTCTATTAGGATCTTTTTTGGTTCTGTATGAATTTTAGGATTGCTTTTTCTAATTCTGTGAAAGCTGGTGTTACTATTTTCATATAAGAATTGCACTGAATCTGTAGATTGCTTTAGGCAGTATGGTCATTTTAACAATATTAATTCTTATGATCCATGAGCGTGGGATTTTTTTTCTTTTTTTTTTTTTGTATTATCTATAATTGCTTTCATTGGTGTCTTACACCTTTCCTGGTACAGCTCTTTCACCACCTTGGTTAAATGTATTCCTGAGTGTTTTAATTTTGCGTATCTATTGTAAACGGCATTGCCTTCTTGATTTGGTTCTCAGCTAGATCATTATAGGTGTAGAGAAATGCTACTGGCTTTTACATATTGATTTTGTATTCTGAAACTTTACTTAGTTCATTTATCAATCATAAGAATTTTTGGCAGGGTCTTTAGGATTTTCTAGATTTAAGATCATAGCATCAGAAATAAAAATAATTTTACTTCCTCTTTTCTAATTTGGATTTTTAATTCTTCCTGTTGCCCAATAGCTCTGACAAGGCTTCCAGTACTATGTTGATAGGAAGTGGTGGATGTCCGTGTCCTTGTCTTGTGCCAGTTCTCAGAGGAGTGCTTTTAACTTTTCCTGTTCAGTATGATGTTGACTCTAGATATGTCATCTATGGCTTTTATTATTTTGAGGTATGTTCTTTCTATGCCTAAGTTTTTGAGGGTTTTCATCAGGTAAGGATGTTGAATTTCTTTTCAGATGCTTTTCTTTATGTCTATTGAGATGATCATATGGTTTTTGTTCTGGATTCTGCTCGTTCTTCTAAGTGGATGAGACATGCCAGAAAAGCATTTAGTCAGCCATCTTGGAAACAAGCATCTCAGATGTTTTCTTTCTCTATAGCTCATTCTTTCTTACCAGTGTTTTCAATTTTGTACTTAATTTTGTAAAGAGAGTAAATGATATAATTTCCACATATGTTTCCTCTGCCAAATCAGACTCACTATGCTTCCTTTCCTTGTATGCATAACCTACCCAGCAATACACACAAACATTTATTGCTTTGGAGAATTAGTTTGGGAACATTTTTGAAATGTACAAAAAAATGTATATCTTCAAAAGAAATTTCTTTTTGTGGCAAAAGACTTCTGAAGGTGCTCATGATGATATAGGGAGAAGAGGGGTTCTGGACAGGAAGAATTTTATGAAGGTGAGATGGGGAAATAGCTCCATTTCAGAGCTTCTGGGGAGAGAGGGGCCTGGCCCACATGGAAAGGTCTCTGATCTTACCCCCACCCTCCAGCCCCTGTTCTCCAGAACTATACTGTGGAGAGTTCCATCAGGATTGTTGTGGCTGGTCTGGTCTTCCTGGCTCTTTTGGCAATGCTGGCTAAGACCTGGTGGAGACATGAGGGGCCACAGGTGGAAATGGAAGAAACATGACTGAAGCTGGCTGGAGTGAATGGCGCGACATTCTGTCTGTGGGAGATTGGCCAGATGGGTTTCAAGTGTGTTGTATCAGCTGTGACTTTTAGTAATGTTCTTGCTACCACAATATCCACTCGTCCATCCCGAATAATTGTGATGAAATATTGTCCTTGGGATAATATTCATTTGCTAAAGACAGGGATGATACCTCAAGGTGCCACTATATACATCGAGGGGATCCACAAAAGTCCATTCAGTAAAATGTAGTTGGCATCTTAGGGTAGGTTGATTCCACCTCTAAAAAAGTAGGTACAACATCAGGTTGATTTTTCCGAAGAAAAGTGGTGATTGGCCATCTTTAGTCTCAATGTAAACGGTAATACTGATGAGTGTGGAAAAGGCAGGGAAGAGGATTGACAATAAGTGACACTCATTGTTTTCATCTGAGCTTTGAGACTGAAAGAGGAACACAGGAGTGAGATGTATGGGAACAAACCCCTTCTTTTTCCAGCTAAACAGAGTGGAAGTTGGACACTGAGTTTTGGCGTACAGCAAAATCCTAAGTCCATTGTTGGGTTGAACACGGCCATGTTGTACATCCTGGTTTCACAGCAGACACTGGAGGAAAACAGCCTGTATTCATAAGAGGCTGTCCCTCGGGTCACTGCCCAGAATATCCGGAGTTGGTGCTCACAGGGTTGGGAACTCTCCTGGACCAGACAGGCTCTGGATATGGGGGGGTACCAAGCTCCCCGGGGCCATGCCTCCACAGCTCTCTTCTCACCTCATTCTTGACCATTTCCCAAACCTCTGACCTCACCTTCATTCATCCATGGTGAACACGCTAAAGCTGGCCTTCAAAGCTTGAGACAGAGGAAAATTGGGCTTCATCTCTGGGAACTAAATTGGGGAGTGGAGACTCAGTTCTGGCCTGACAGGAGGGAGAAGACCCTGGATCCCAGTGTGGATGGGAAGAAGTATGTGTTTCTCTTTTGTGCTTGGACCCTGTGTCCAAGCATGTCTGAGATGTGATGAAGATGAATCTTCCTTTCCTTGTCTATTTTCTCATGCCAGAGAATTGGAATCTTATATTCCATTAACTCTTTCTGTTCTGTTCATCCAGATTCTATGAAGGAGAAAGGAAAAGATGTGATACTGTAATTTTGCTCCATTTGTCTAAAATGAGTAGGCTGCAACTCCTCTTGAAGTGATACCTTTTCTAGCTCTTGTTGGAGGTGTCTCAGGACTCATTACTTCGGGGAACCTGCAACTGTGTCAGTCTGGGGAAACTGCAAATATTCTTGTCTTACATTTGTCTCCAGCCAATTGTGATGGACTCCAGTGACCTGCAATTGCTGTTATTGCAGGTAAAATGTACCTGAGTCAGGCCACAGTTCTCCTGGACTATGAGCCCCTGGCCATGTTCCTGAGGCAATTCTGTTCATCTAAATATAATAATAATAACACACTAAAAATGGCAAGCCATTGTTAATTCCTGAAGTCTCATTTGAAAATTACTAAATGTCTGTTATTTTTTGGTGTTTACATTATATGTAGACAGATAAACTACACACACACACACACACACATGCACACAGAAGAATGGATTGGTTCATGTAGAAAAGTAAATAATTCAAGATGAAAGGATGAAATGTCATGGCACCTACTATTCTATTTTAGATAAAGGGTCTATGAAAAGATTGATTTCTTTTTATGTTTTATTTGTTGACATTTGAACACAAACTATGTAAGTGAGGGAGTCGATTTGAAAGGGAGAAGAGCAAGTTCAAACACATTCAGGTGAGGTCATGCTTTACATGTTTTAATTGAAATGATCCATCTTGGGAGTAGATCAATAACTGAGATGGTGCCAGGAATGTTAAAAAGCTTTTGTCAGTCCTAAATATTGACAAATAAAATTTAATTAAAGTCTTAGAAGAAAACACAAAGGAAAACTTCACAACATCGGATTTGGCAGTGATTCTTTAGATGTGACAACAACGGCACAGGCTACTACAGAAAAAATAAACAAGTTAGACTTTATGAAAATTTTGAAATATTGTGACTCAAAAGACAACATCAGTTACTTCACATGGCAAGGAAAAAGAACTTTTAAGACGATATTATCAAAGTAAAAAGACAACCCACAGAATGGGAGAAAATGTTTTCAAACCACACCACCTGTAAGGGATTAACATCCAGAATATACAGACAACTCCTAAAACTCAATCACAATAAACTCAATTCAAAAATGGGCAAAGTACTGAAACAGACATTTCTCCAAAGAACATACGCATGACAAGATATTCAGCATCACGAATCATTAGGGAAATACTAACTAAAACTACACCAGATGCCATTTCATACCCCTTAGGATGGGTATCATCAAAACAACAACAACAACAACAACAACAAAGTTTCTATACATTAACAACAAACTATCCAAAAAAGTTTACAAGAAAATAAGCCCATTTGCAATAACTACAGAAAACAAAACATGCAGGAATAAATTCACCCAAGGAGTAGAAAGATCTGTATGCAAAAGCTATAAAACATTGATGAAAAAACTCAAGAAATAAACAAATAAATCGAAAGATATTCCATGTTCACGGATCAGAAGGATTAATGTTGTTAAAATGTCCATTCTATCCAAAGTGATTCAATGCAACCATTATCAAAAATCCAATGACATTTTTTTTTACAGAAATAGAAAAAACAGTCCTAAAATTCATGTGGAACCACAAAAGATCTCAAATAACCAAAGCCATCTAGAGGGAAAGGAACAAAGTTGGAAGCATCACATTACCTAAACACAAACTACATTACAAAGTTACAGTAATTAAAACAACACAGTACTTGCATAAAAACAGACACATAGACCAATGGAAGTGATTCATAGCCCAGGAAAAAAAATGCACGCATTTAGGGTCAAACAATTTTTGGGATGTATCAAGAACACACAATGGAGAAGGAACAGTCTCTTTAATAAATGGGATTGGGAGACATGCAGAAGAATGGAAGTGGACATTTGCCTCACAAAACATACAAAGTCAACTCAAGATAGATTAATGACTTAAATGTAAGGTGAAAGACTATCATCCCAGCAATTTGGGAGGCCAAGGCGGGCAGATCACCTAAGGTCAGGATTCCAAGACCAGCATGGCCAACATGGTGAAATCCCGCCTCTACTAAAAATACAAAAACAGCTGGGTGTGGTTGTGGGTGCCTGTAATCTCAGCTACTCGGGAGGTTGAGACAGGAGAATCACTTGAACCCAGGAGGTAGAGGTTGCAGTGAGCCGAGATCGCATCACTGCACTCCAGCCGGGGCAACAGAGTGAGACTCCATCTTAAAAAAAAAAAAAACTACTAAAAGAAATCAAGGGAAAACTCCACTGGCTTGGGCAAAACCATTTTGGATATTAACCCAAAGGCCCAGGCAACAAAAGCAAAAGTAGACAAATAACATTATATCAAATTGAAAGTTTCTGCAAAGAAAAAAAAAAACTCAACAAGTGGAAAGACAACCTATGGAATGGGAGAATATATTTGCACCCATACATCTAATAAGGAATTAATATCCAAAATATATAAGAAACTCAAACAACTCAATGGTAAGAAATCAAATAACCCAACTTAAAAAAATGGGCAAAGTATCTGAATAAACATTTCTAAGAATAAGACAAATCACCAAAAGGTATATGAAAAAATGATTAGCATTACTAAACATCAGCTAAATAAAAATTAAAACTAGAATGAGATATCACCTCACACCTCTTAGAATGACCATTAACAGTCTGGGCATGGTGGCTCATGCCTGTAATTCAGGCACTTTGGGAGGCCGAGGCAGGGAGATTACCTGAGGTCAGCAGTTCGAAACCAGCCTGGCCAATATGGTGAAATCCCATCCCTACTAAAAATACAAAAATTAGCAGAGTTTGGTGGCGCACACTTGTAGTCCCAGCTACTCTGGAGACTGAGGCAGGGGAATCGCTTGAACCCAGGAGGCAGAGGTTGCAGTACACCGAGATTGTGCCACTGCACTCCAGCCTGGGTGACAGAGCAAGACTGAGTCTCAAAAAAAAAAAAAAAAAGACCATTATCAAAAACATAAAAAATAACAAGCATTAACGAGGATGTGGAGAAAAGGGAACATTTGTATGCAGTTGATGGGAATGTAAATTAGCACAACCATTATGGAAAACAGTCTGGAAGTTCCTGAAAAAATTAAACATAGAATTCCCATATGTGTCTGCAATCCAACTACTGCGCATGTATCCAAAGGAAGTGGAATCAGTATGTTGAAGAGATATCTGCATTCCCATGTTTACAGCCGCATTATTCATAACAGCCAAGATGTGGAATCACCCTTACTGCCCATCTATGGGTGCATGGACAAAGAAAACGTGGTATACGATAGGAACGTAATGAAGTACTATACAACCTTTACAACAAAGAAGGAAGTCCTCTCATTTGTGACAATGTGAAAAAACTTAGAGGACATTATGTTAAGGGAAACAATCCAGGCACAGAAAGACAAATGCCACATGATCTCATGTGTGGAGTGTAAGAAGTGGAACCTAGAGGAACAGTAAAATGGTCGTCGAAAGAACCTGGGAAGGAGAGAGATTGAAGAGATGTTGGTCAAAGGATGCAAAATTTCAGTTAGAAGAAATCGGTTCAAGAGATCTATTGTATGTCTTGGTGACTCCATTTAATAGCAACATATGGTGTATTGAACATTACTAAGAGATTAGATTTTACATGTTCTCACCACACACACAAAACATACAAGTATGTGAAAAAATAAATAGATAAAGAGGTTGTTTCATCCATTCCACAATGTGTACCTATATGAAAACATCATGATGGACACCACAAATACCCTTTTCCTCATTAATTAAATTTGTTTTGGCTTTTTTTTTGAGACGCAGTTTCACTGTTGTTGCCCAAGCTGAGGTGCAATGGCGTGATCTCCGCTCACTGCAACCTCTGCCTCCCAGGTTCAAGCGGTTCTCCTGACTCAGCCTCCCAAGCAGCTGGGACTACAGTTGCGTACCACCCCGTCCGGCTATATTTGTGTTTCTAGTAGAGACAGGGTTTCGCCATGTTGGCCAGGCTGGTCTCGAACTCCAGACCTCAGGTGATCCACCCGCTTCGCCCTCCCAAAGTGCTAGATTTCAGGCTGAGACACCACACCCAGCCTGTACATTGACTTTCTGCCCTTAAACTGTGCTGAAGTTTGTTTCTCAGATGTAGGAGCCTTTGGGCAGAGACTATGGGGTTTCTAGGTATAGAAATTATCTCATCTTCAAACAGAGGTAATTTGACTACCTCTCTCTGCTACTCTCTTCTTACTTGGATGCCTTATAATTCTTTCTCTTTCCTGATGGCTCTGTCTAGGACTTCAAGTACTATGTTGAATAGGATGGTGAGAGTGGGCATTCTTGTCTTGTTTCACTTATGAAGGGAACTTCTTCCAGCTTTTACTCATTCAGTATGATGTTGGTTGTGGGTTTGTCATAGGCGGCTCTTATTATATTGAGTTATGTTTCTTCAATGCTTAGCTTGTTGAGGGCTTTTAACATGAAGAAATGCTTAGTAAAAAGTATGTTCTACATGTGTGTTGAGAAGATCATGTGGTTTTTGTTTTTAGTTTTGTTTAGGTGATGAATCACATGTATTGATTGTGTATGTTCAACCAACCTTGCACCCTAAGAATAAAGTTGACTTGATCATGGTGGATTCACTTTTTGATATGCTGCGGGATTCAGTTCTTAGTATTTTTTGTGGATTTTTGCATCTATGCTCATCAGGAATATTGGCATGTAGTTTTCTTTTGTTTAATATTCTTTTCTGTCTTTAGTATCAGGGTGATGCCAGCCTTATAGAATGAGTAAAGGCCACCCTGGGCAAACAGTGAGACCCATCCCTTTTTAAAAATTATGAGTTTTACAAATTTAAAATGCATAGTGAAAAAGTTCTTACAAACTCCAGAAAGGTAGGTGTAAATAAGAGACATTTGTAAGAATGACAGCACATTAAATGTGTAGATTTCAACCTTCAGTTATTGCAATATTCCAGTATCAAGTTGGAGGATGTTATCAGTCTGATATTTTTTCCTCAAATGAGAGAGAGAAAGAAAGACACACAAACAACACAGGGAGAAAAAAAGCACACGTTACAGAGAGACAAAAAGGGAGACAGGGAACTGTGAATTTGGACTCTTGTGTCATAAGACAAATTCTAGATAACACGACCAGACCTTCAATTGACATATTGTGTTTTTGCTAATAAGGTGGAATTCTATGATGCGAAATAACTATATAGTCTTTTCTACTGGGATTTAAATCATTTTATCTGTTTCTGGCTTAACAGGAAAAATACAACCATGGAAAATTATGATGATTTATTTAATACGATTGCTCTATAGTGTTAATAAAACCTATTAGGTATTTTGCATATTACATATCAAGGAGAGTTTGAATCTCAGGTAGAAACAAAAAAAAATACATCAAAAGTTCCTCATGTGAGTGCAGAATTCAATCGTCCCGTGCAGGGGTAAGTGAGTCTGAGATGTGTTTTGAGCCTGGCCGTTGCGCATGATGTGAACTGACAAGTCTAGTCTGCAGTTTTCAGAAACCCTCATTCCTCCCTTGACTGACTCACCACTTGAACCTCATATGACGTAGAAGAAGCCTACCTATGTCCCCTTCACATGTTGTGGTCAATGTGTCAACTGCACGATCCGGGCCCCTCACCACATCCTCTGCACCGGTCAGTCGAGCCGAGTCACTGCGTCCTGGCAGCAGAAGCTGCACCATGTCCATGTCACCCACGGTCATCATCCTGGCATGTCTTGGTGAGTCCTGGAAGGGAAGGAGCACCAGGGTTACACTATGGGCCTGCAGATTGGGTGTCTCCCCAGCAGAGAGCCATGTTCTGAAGCAAGTGAGTGGTGAGGATGAGTTAATTTTCAGTCCAGCGTGGCGCCCAGTGGCTCAGGAGGAAAGGGTAGGTTGGTGCCGAGATGAATAGTTCATCATGATCTTTCTTTGCAGGGTTCTTCTTGGACCAGAGTGTGTGGGCACACGTGGGTGAGTCCTTCCCCAAATGATGGGTTGCCATCTTCACCCCAATACAAGTGAATTTTCCGGAAATGGGAGGGAGGCAGCACAGAGGGTGGGCTGATGGGCTGACCATGGGAAGGCCTGGGGGGAGTCTCTCATGAACTAGTAAGAGGAGATCCTGGGAGTCTCTCATGAACTAGTAAGAGGAGATCCTGGGAGTCTCTCATGAACTAGTAAGAGGAGATCCTGGGAGTCTCTCATGAACTAGTAAGAGGAGATCCTGGTATGCTCAGCCCTCTGTTTTGTCTTAGCCCTCCCCAGCCTTTCTTCCCCATGGCTGAGTTGAGCTCTGTGTGGCCCAGGCGGGATACTGAGGTGCTCAAAGCTGGGGTGTGTGGGGGGATGTGGTGTCACCGACAGAGGAGGGAAGGGTAGCAGTGTTAGGAACAGCAGGTCCTCTGAGGACAAGAGGGTAACTCACACCCTCCAGCGTTTCCATGACGGTAGGGGCTGCAGTGTGGCTGCTGTCATTCTGCCAGAAGAGGTGGGGGAACCACAGCCACGACCCTGCCATTCCAAATCCTCTGATGGAGCTCAGTTGTTTATTGTGGTTCAGGCATTAGCTAATATTCCATTCACAAAGGTCATACCCTCCACCCCATGTCTACTTTGTGTTGTTTGGTGTAACTAATCTTGCAGTATTAAAATCTAGTAAGAGTCCCTTACTCAGCACCTGCTCAGTTCTCAACTGACACTTTTGTTGTAGGGAGACGCCACGTCTATGCGGGATGGGTCCTTCCTGTAGCCCCAGGCACCCAGGTGTGGTAGGAGCCTTAGAAAGAAGAAATGGGGAGAATCTTCTGAGCACAGGGAGGGAGGGGCAGCTCAACATACTCCTCTCTGAGGCGGCATCTCCTTCTCCCCAAGGTGGTCAGGACAAGCCCTTCTGCTCTGCCTGGCCCAGCGCTGTGGTGCCTCAAGGAGGACACGTGACTCTTCGGTGTCACTATCGTCGTGGGTTTAACATCTTCACGCTGTACAAGAAAGATGGGGTCCCTGTCCCTGAGCTCTACAACAGAATATTCTGGAACAGTTTCCTCATTAGCCCTGTGACCCCAGCACACGCAGGGACCTACAGATGTCGAGGTTTTCACCCGCACTCCCCCACTGAGTGGTCGGCACCCAGCAACCCCCTGGTGATCATGGTCACAGGTCAGAGGGCTCCTGTCTGGGCTTCTCCTTGTCCCACCTCCTGAGTCCCAGAGCTTCTGGTGGGGGTGTCCACCAGAGTCCGATCATCCAGGCCCCAACTATATTTGGGGTAAAGGGGGATTGAATACAGGGGAATGGGTGCTGTGTTGGAAAGAATAACTGTCCCCATCGATGGCCACATTGTAATCCTTGGAGCCTGTGACTATGTTATAGGGCAGGGGACTGAAGGGGAAGATGGAGCTCAGGTTGTTGATGAGTTGACCTTGAGATGGGGAGATGGCCTGGACTCTCCCACTGGGCTCAGTGTAATCACAAGGGTCCATATGAGTGGAGAAGGAAGAGGAGAATGGGGATTAGAGCAGCATCGTGGGATACTCCACCAGCCACTGTGGGCTTTGAAGGTGGAGGAAGACCACGAGCCACGAAGGGGCTGGAGAAATCAATGGAACTGATTCTCCCGAGTCTCCAGAGGGAATGCAGCCCTGCAGATGCATTGATTGTAGCCCAGGAAGAACAGGGTCTGATTTCTGTCTCCAGAAGTGGAAGGGGTCAGTGTGTTCTCTCCTGTCGCCATGTTTGTGATAATTTTCTCCAGCAACAACAGGAAACCAACACAGGAACCCAGGTGAAGGACAAGTTAAAAAACCAAACAAGAAGGTTGGCTACCCTGAGATCAGCAAGGGTGCACTGCTGATGCCACCACCAGGCTGGAACCACATAGGGAGGGATCGACAGGAAGAGTTGGGGGTGGAGGGTGAGAGAGAGAGAGAGAGCACTAGGCCATAGAGCAGGGCAGTGAGTTCTCAGCTCAGGTGGGAGGGGAGCTGTGACAAGGAAGAACCTCCCTGAGGAAACTGCCTCTTCTCCTTCCAGGTCTATATGAGAAACCTTCGCTTACAGCCCGGCCGGGCCCCACGGTTCGCACAGGAGAGAACGTGACCTTGTCCTGCAGCTCCCAGAGCTCCTTTGACATCTACCATCTATCCAGGGAGGGGGAAGCCCATGAACTTAGGCTCCCTGCAGTGCCCAGCATCAATGGAACATTCCAGGCCGACTTCCCTCTGGGTCCTGCCACCCACGGAGAGACCTACAGATGCTTCGGCTCTTTCCATGGATCTCCCTACGAGTGGTCAGACGCGAGTGACCCACTGCCTGTTTCTGTCACAGGTGAGGAAAGCCAATGTCTGTCCCATGTCCTATGGTCCTAGAGCCTTAGCTGAGGAGCTTCCTGCTGATGATGGAGAGAAGCATGGACAGATGTGGAGAGAAGATGCAGCATGGTGTGAGGGTGGGATCAGGGCACAGGATGGCAGACAGGGCACCTCCAAACCCTCCTGCATGGCCTGCATGGAAGCTTGCAGTAAGGGCTCCGGGTACCCAGGCAGATGGAGAAAGTGGTCAGGACAGACCCAGAGGAGGGAGACTGGGCTCAGTTTGGGGAGATCAGAGGTTCCCTCAGCCCCTCAACCTTACCCATTTCCCAGAAGCCCACCCTGGCCTCTCACCTACACAGAGATGTCATCACCAGCAACCCCTACACTTTTTCTTTTCCTTTGAAAAAATGCTGATTGAGGTTAAATATACCTATATAATTTATCAACTTTACCATTTTTAAGTGTAAAATCTAGGGATCATAAATACCTTTATATGCTGTGTGCGGTGGCTCACGCCTGTAATCTCAGCATTTTGAGACGCCAAGGCAGGTGGATCATTTAAAATCAGGGGCTGGAGACCAGCCCGGCCAACATGGGGGAACCAATCTTTACTAAAAAGACAAAAAAAATAAAATTAGCCAGGCATGGTGCCAGGCGCCTATAATCCCAGCAACTTGGGAGGCTGAGGCGGGAGAGTGGCTTAAACCCAGGAGGAGGAGGTTGCAGTGAGCTGAGATCATGCCACTGCACTGCAGCCTGGTGACACAGAGAGACTCTGTCTCTAAATAAATAAATAAATAAATACTTTTATATTCTTCTTTTGTTACCCTCCACCCCTTCCTTCCTAACCTCTGGTATCCACCATTCTACTCTCTACCTTCATGAGGTCCACCTTTTACATCCTGCATGTGAGTAAGAAATGGCAATCCTTGTAATGACCTCTAGTCCATCCATGTGGCTGCAAATGACAGGACGTTACTCTTTCTATGGATGAGTTGTCTCCATTGTGTGTATGTACTACATTCTCTCTATCCATTCATCCACTGATGGGCAGGTAGGTTGACTCCACATCTTGGCTACTGTGAACAGTGCTGGAACAGTCATGGGAGTGCAGATGTCACTTCAATACACTGAAGTCCTTTTCTTTGCATTTACACCCACTAGTGGAATTGCTAGATCCTCTGGATGTTCTCTTTTTAGGTTTTGTTTTATGCTTTTTGTTTTTTTGACATAGCGTTTCACTCTTGTTGCCCAAGCTGGAGTGCAATGGCACCACCTGGGCTCACTGCAACCTCTACCTCCAGGATTCAAGTGATTCTCCAGCCTCAGCCTCCCGAGTAGTTGGGATTACTGGTGCCCGCCACCAAGCCTGGCTGATTTTTGTATTTTTAGTAGAGACGGGGTTTCACCATGTTAGCCAGGCTGGTCTCGAACTCTTGACCTCCAGTGATCTGCCCACTTCAGCCTCCCAAGGTGCTGGGATTACAAGCGTGAGCCACAGTGCCTAATCTCTTTTCAGTTTTTAAGGAACTTCCATATTCTTCTCCTCTGTAATGGCTGTATTAATTTACATTCCTATCAACAGTGTATCAGGGTTCTCCTTTCTCCACCACCTTGCCAACATTTGTTTTGTCTGTCTCTGAGATAAAACCCATTGTAATGGGGTGAGATGATAGCTCATTGTGACTTCATTTGCATTTCTCTGATGATTAGTGATACTGAGCACTTTTTCATATATGCAATGTATATATGTTCATTTGTATGTTTTGTTCATTGAGAAATGTCTGTTCAGGTCTTTTACTAATTTTATAATTAAATTATTAGTTTTATTGAGGTGTTTGAGCTTCTTTTATATTCTAGTTATTAATCCCATCTCAGATGCATAGTTTGCAAATATTTGCTCCCATTCTGTGGGTTTTCTCTTCTTCACTTCATTGGTTGCTTCCTTTGCGGTGCAGAAGCTGCTTGATTTGATATAATCCCAATGGTCTATTTTTTTTGTTGTTGTTGTGATTACTTGTGTTTTTGAGGTTTTAAACAAAATGTCTTCCCTCAGACAAATGTCCTGGAGCATTTCTCCAGTGTTTCCTTTTAGACATTTAATGGATTCAGGTCTTAAGTCATTAATCCATTTTCATCTGATTTTTGTGTATGGTGAGAGGTAGAGGTGCAGTTTCATCCCTCTGCATGTAGATATCCAGTTTTCCCTGCACCATTTATTGAAATGACTGTCCTTTCCAGATTGTAGATTCTTCGAACCTTTGTCAAAGTCCATTGGATGTAAATGGGTGGATTACATCCGTGTTCTTCATTCTGCTTCATTGTTTTATGTGCTTTTCTTTATGCCAATGTCATGTTGTTTTGCTTACTACAGCTCTGTAACATATTTTTAAGTCAGGTAGTGTGATGCTCCTGTTTTCTCCTTATACCTTGAAGTCTCAAGATAGTTGGTGTCACCTACAATGATTATGGAGAATGGGATGCCAGGACTCCCAGGGCCCAACATTAGATAATAGAAGGTTGGCCATGAACCAACCTCAAAGATTTCCATTGAGTAGAAAAGACAGGCATCCTCATTGCCACACCTCTCTCCTGTCCCATGTTCTAGGAAACCCTTCTAGTAGTTGGCCTTCACCCACTGAACCAAGCTTCAAAACTGGTAAGTGAAGGACCCCTCTTATCTCTGCTTTTGGAAACCTGGGGAGGTAGAAGCCTTGGATTCAAGCGTTGGCTCAGCACCTGCCAGCTCTGTGATTGTGGGCCTGTCTTCCATTGTCTCTGAACCCCAGACACTCCAACAGCGAAAGGGATCTGGGCCCAGCACAGGGCTCAGTGAAATCTCTTAATCTCTAATTTTCTGCTGCTGAGACCTCAGGGTAGAAGGATGAGTGCAAATCAGACATTCTTCTCAGGAAAAATGCTGTGTTTGTTCTGCCTGCATTCCTAACTGGGAGGACAAATGCCTGGGGGCTTGAGAAGGGGAAGGAAGGGGAACATTTTTGAGGGTGGTGTGTTTGTAGAGAAGTTCTACTTGCCAAGGAATGAGCTCCTGTCTGTCATGATCCAACCCTGGTTGACTTAGTGGAACAAGAGCTTTGCGGTAAGAGAGAACGTAGTTCATCCGTGCACATGACACTTCCACTTACTCGTTCAGCCACTGCCCCATGCTCAGACTGTGCAGTGTGGAACTTTTTCCTATGTTGCCATAACAAATTTCCACAAGCTTCGTGGATGGAAACCACATTTTTAAAAAATATCTCATGGTGCTGTAGCTCAGAAGTATGAAATGCATCATCTCACTGGGCTAAAATCAAGGTGACAGCAAGGCTGCCTTCCCTCTGAATGTTCCAGGCAAGAATCTGCTTCCTCACTTTTCCCAGCTCCTAGAGGCTCCCACATTCCTTGGCTCCTGGTCCCCGTCTTCCTCCCTCAAAGTCCACAAAGGCTGGTCACGCCTCTCACACGGCATCACTCAGACCCTTCTTCCTTGTCCACACCTCTTTCTCTGAATGCTGCTCTGCCTTCTTCCTCATCTTTTAAGGACTTTGGCATTCTATTGGAAACACCAAGATAATCCATCATAATTTCCCTAAAATCATCTAGGATACCCTCCTTTTAAGGTTAGCTGATTAGCAACCGTAATTCCATCTGCAATCTGCATTCCTTTTTTCCATGTAAAATAACATATTCACAAGATATGGCGACTAGGACAGGAACATTTTGGGGTGGGGCGGCATTCTTATCCTTTCCACAAATGGTAAACAAGGTGCATTTGGCCTCTGCTCTTGGACACTGATATTGCAAAGGATTAAATGGGAGGGCAGAAAATGAATACACCAGTGGACCAATAAATGAATGATCCATTGGGAAGCATCTGTGCATGAGAATGATTGATTGATTGGTTGTTTTTATGAGACGGTGTCTCCCTCTGTGCCCCAGGCTGGAGTGCAGTGGCGGGATCTCGGCTCACCGCAACCTCCACCTCCCAGGTTAAAGCGATTCTCTACACTCAGCTTCCCGAGAGGCTGGGATTACACCCATGTCCCACCACGCCTGGCTAATTTTTTTTTGGTATTTTTTTTTAGTACAGACAAGGTTTTACCATGTTGCCCAGGCTATCTCAAACTCCCAACCTTAAGGGATCCGCCCGTCTCAGCCTCCCAAAGTGCTGAGATTAGAGGCGTGAGCCAAGGCGCCGAGCCGTATTTTAAAAGAAATAATAGATAATGCTGAGTGTATAATTTCGGGTGACAGAGAAGTTCTCACTGATCAAATAATACTTGTGACCTTAATGAAAAAAATAGATCAACCCCTGGAAGATTGGCGGAAGGATTTTCCACACAGCTGTCAGCCGTGAAGGCACAAAGGTGAAAACAATGTTATGTGGAAGGAAGAGGCTCTGCCTGAAATGCTGGGAATGACATGGGGAGAATGACAAGACGACTGTGGAGAGACAGAGAGCACTCTGGGTACACAGGAAACTAAGGAGGAACAAGGAGCGTGTGTTTGATACTCACAGCCATTGGACTTACCTCGGGGCTAACTGGGAATCCCTACATGATGAATAGTGACTGACATGAAAATAAGGGAGGCCCAGGTGCATAACTGGAATCTAGGAGACTGTGGAAAAGGCAATTCCCGCCCCCCTGGTGAAATGTGGTGCTGATTTAGACACTAAATGAATGAAAGATGGACACAAGATGTGTTTGTGAGGTAGAGTAATTTGCAGGGAGGGCTTGCCTGGTTTGATTTTTCCTAATTGTTTAATCTTCACTTCATTGATTTCTTTCTGAGATTTATTTTTCCTACATGTAAATCAATACTTGGCAGAGGAGTGAGAGATACATGAGGGGTGGTGCAAAGGAAGAGACCTATTATAATATAACACACAAGGTTCTGAACGGTGGCTCACACCTGTAACCCAACATTTTGGGAGGCTGAGGAGGCTGGATCAAGTGAGATCAGGAGTTCGAGATCAGCCTGGACAACATGGTGAAACCCCATCTCTACAAAATATACAAAAACTAGCTGGGGGTGGTGGCGCGTGCCTGTAATACCAGCTATTCAGGAAGTTGAAGAAGGAGAATGGCTTCAACCAGGGAGGGAGAGGTTACAGTGAGCCAAGATCGCGTCATTGCACTGCACCCTAGGTGACAGAGTGAGACTCCATGGCAAAAAATAAAAATAAAGAATACATAAATATAATATAACATACACGAATGACAAAGGCACACCAATTCCAATCATCATTTTTCTATTTCTCTATAATGACTTCTTTGATCCTTTATCCTATCCATAAGAAAATCAGGCGAAAACATCTTCCTTATTTGGCTTTCTGTGAGCATGAGATCATATGGAAAATGTGAAACCCACCAGCACAGGTCCTGGAATAGAGAACGTGATCTGTTCATGGCACAAAACTTGCCCCTTCACCCAAATCCCCCACCTCACCCCTACTTCCAATCACATTAATGATACAGATAGATCATGGGGAGGTAAAAACTAATATTCTTTGGAGTTCAGATCGTAGACTCAGAGACCAGTGCCAGCACTATCTCCTGGTCACCTTTTGGAGTAATTCACAGAAAGACAGGCTGTATTGAAGCAACAGATGATGGAGGGGGTGGTCTTTCCCCCAGACTCTCGGGTGGAACAGCAGCCTAATATCTGACTCCCAAGATGACAAAAGTAGCATGTTGCCCACGAGCTTCATCATTATTTCCTGGCTGTTTGATATAAGACAGCTCAACCTCACTTATGTTGATTTCAATGTCACTGTTTTTTCCTTTTCTTGGAGAATGTAATTTGTTTGAGTCAAGAGGGTTGTGGATGTAGAAACTGTAAAGCACATTCACTGTGTATCAATCCCAGTCCAGTCTTCCCAGAGAAGACTCTAAACACCTCCCATACTGCACCTGGGCCTGTGCCAATTTCTATCACTCACCATCACTCCAGGGAGACAGAACACACAGGGAATACATTACATAGGCAGGTTCATTACTTATAGATAAGCAGCGAGTGACAACAGAAACCTTCCTTTCAGGGTGAGCCAGTCCCTCAAGGCTCAGAAAAACTGCTCAGGACACATGGAGTCACTTCATGTGCACTGTAGCTGGGGGAAGCCAGAAAGCAGCCCAGCCTGGGTTTTGTACCCTGGAGCCACAGGGAACACTCAGCTAAAGCACTGCATGATGTTCTCCTCCAGGAAGAACAGGAAGACAGCCCAGGCTGTTCTGAGACGTTCCTCCTGATCTCAGGATGTTGCTGTCTTAGCCTATTTTTGTTGCTATAAAAGAACACTTGAGCCTGGGTATCTTCTAAAGAAAAGAGATGTGTTTGGCTCACTGATCGGCACGCTGTACTAGAAGCAGGACACTACCATCTATTTCTGGCTGCGGCCTCAGGCTGCTCCCACACTGACAGAAGAGAAGGGGGTCCTGCGTGTGCAGAGACCACAGAGATCACATGGCAAGAGAGGGAGAAAGGGGGTGTGATGGAGCTTCCAAGCTCTTTTTAAGAATCAACTCTCCAGGGTACTAATAGAGGGAGAACTTGCTAAACCCGTCCTCTGGGGACAGCATTAATCTATTCATGATGGATCCACCCCCATGACCAAAACACCCCTCCCAATAGGCACAACCTCCCACACTGGGGATTAAATTTCAAAGTGGGGTTTGGAGGGGTCAAACATTGAAACAATAGCAGTTGTATCATCAGCACATTCTATTGTTATTATGAAAACTATAACGGAGAAAGCAGGAGAAAGCTGGGTCTCCCGCCTCGTGGGTGCTTGTCCTAAAGAGGTGTTTTATGTGGTTGCCTGGCAACCAAGAAATGAGAGACAATCCACAAAGAGGAACTGCTATGGTTAGCTTCTTATTGGATTCTCATCTTCCTCCAGGTATCGCCAGACACCTGCATGCTGTGATTAGGTACTCAGTGGCCATCATCCTCTTCACCATCCTTCCCTTCTTTCTCCTTCATCGCTGGTGCTCCAAAAAAAAAAGTAAGCCTCACGAAGCAGAGGCCAGAGAACTCAGGGCCCTGTGCGGAAGCAGGATGGGAGCACGCAGGTGTGTGTTCCTCACTGGCAGGAAAGTCTCTGGCCCAAGGCAGGAGCCAGAGGCAGAGCTTTCTAGAGAGAGCACCAGACACCCTGCCCCTGCCTTCAGCTCACAGACCATTGCCTGATTGTGAACTGTATCCTCACGTCCCCTGCAGCCACTCACATCCAGGAGAAGATTCCATGACAGGCAGAAAGTGGGAGATAGAATCAATGGGATGGGAACTGACAGCTATTCATGGAATGGGGTCTTGCACTCAGAGAGATGGAATGTCTGAGTCTGGCTGTTGGCAGCTGAGGGACCTCAGGCACCTATGGCCTCCCCCTGTGTGTTGGTATCTGTTCATGAAATGAGGACCCAGAAGTGCCCTCCCAGCTGTTTTGATTGCTTCCGTCTCCTACAGATGCTGCTGTAATGAACCAAGAGCCTGCGGGACACAGAACAGTGAACAGGGAGGTAGGTCCTCCTAGCCCAGCCTCATGGATACAGTCTTATTCCCTAATAGTCCTGAAAAATGTGAACACCCTCCCTCACTCAGGATTTCCCTCTCTCCAGGACTCTGATGAACAAGACCCTCAGGAGGTGACATACGCACAGTTGGATCACTGCATTTTCACACAGAGAAAAATCACTGGCCCTTCTCAGAGGAGCAAGAGACCCTCAACAGATACCAGCGTGTGTATAGAACTTCCAAATGCTGAGCCCAGAGCGTTATCTCCTGCCCATGAGCACCACAGTCAGGCCTTGATGGGATCTTCTAGGGAGACAACAGCCCTGTCTCAAACCCAGCTTGCCAGCTCTAATGTACCAGCAGCTGGAATCTGAAGGCGTGAGTCTCCATCTTAGAGCATCACTCTTCCTCACACCACAAATCTGGTGCCTGTCTCTTGCTTACCAATGTCTAAGGTCCCCACTGCCTGCTGCAGAGAAAACACACTCCTTTGCTTAGCCCACAATTCTCTATTTCACTTGACCCCTGCCCACCTCTCCAACCTAACTGGCTTACTTCCTAGTCTACTTGAGGCTGCAATCACACTGAGGAACTCACAATTCCAAACATACAAGAGGCTCTCTATTAACACGGCACTTAGACACGTGCTGTTCCACCTTCCCTCGTGCTGTTCCACCTTTCCTCAGACTATTTTTCAGCCTTCTGGCATCAGCAAACCTTATAAAATTTTTTTGATTTCAGTGTAGTTCTCTCCTCTTCAAATAAACATGTCTGCCTTCATTCTTTAGGTGACTCTTTTTTTGGCTGAAAGTTTCCAGTGTTATCATTACCATGTCCAAATAACTCCAACTGTTCTCCACTGGGTTCTCACCCCTGGACTCTGAGCTTCTGGAAGCAGGGTGGAGCCTGATTTGTCTCTGAGACTCCAATTTCCATCCAAAGATGCAGCACATAAGAGGTTCCAAGGATCGTGAATCACATGAACAAGTGATATTCTTACTCTCTGCAGACCTGGAAAGCTGGCAGAGTCATTCCATGATGAAACATTTGTAGAGTCATAGGCCTTGTCAGTCTCATCTCCACGGGGACACATATCAACACATCATCTTTCATACTATAAATATACAGTCGGTCCTCTGTATCTGTGGGATTTACAGGTGTTTATTGAACCAAATATAAATCAAAAATATTCAGAGAAAAAATCCACAAAGTTTCAAAAAGCAAAACTATGTTGAATGGACACAAATGAAGCTGTGTGTAGGCTGTATCAGGAATTATAAATAATCAAGGGATGATTTCATGTACACAGGAGGATGTGCATGGGTTATTTGCAAATGCTGTGCCATTTCATGTAAGAGGCTTGAGCATCTGCAGATTGTGCTATCTGAGTGGAGATCCTGAAACCAATCACCCACGAATAGTGAGGGATGACTGTATATAATTTTTATTTCTCAATTTTAAATATAAAACATAAAAAAATTACAATAACAAGATAAAATAAACAAGTGTTTTATAGTGTGAGAATACTTTTAGATATATTTTTCTCCATGTGTAACCCTTGGGCCCATGTTATTTATTGAGAAGACATTCTATTCCACCTTAAACCACATGGCAGCCTTTGTCAACTATAAAGGGACTGTGTGTACACGGATGTATTTTAGACACTGTTTTCTGCTCAGTGGCTCTCTCTCTGTCCACTCTCTTGAGAATGCTGCATTTTATGCAGCCTTATACAACCCCTAAAATTTGGTAGCTGGAGTCCTCTAGTTATTTATTATAGGCTATTTGCTATGCTTTTTTTATTTTTCTTGAGGCAGAGTCTCGCTCTGTTGCCCAGGCTGGAGTGCAGTGGCACGATCTCGGCTCACTGCAACTTCCGCCTCCCAGGTTCAAGGGATTCCGTGGCTCAGCCTCTTGAATAGCTGGCATTACAAGTGCCTGCTACCAGGCATGGCTAATTTTTGTATTTTTAGCAGAGACATGGTTTCACTATATTGGCCAGGCTGGTCTCAAACTCCTGACCTCGGTTGATCACTCACTTCGGCTTCCAAAGTGCTGGGGAAATTGATTTTCTATAGCATTATGTTACTGGATATTTCTGTAAAATTTAAAATGAGGGAGGCAGAGAGACAGAGAGAGAGCAAACCATGAGTTGGAACTCTGGAATCTTGGGACATGAGACAAATTCTAGATAAATCTACAAAAATCCAGAATTTACATGTTGTGATTTTTGCTGATAAAGTACAATTCTAAGATTGTAAATAATTGCATAATCCTTCCCTGGGAGTTTAAATCATTTGAACTGGTTCTGCTGTAATACTTAGAAATACAATCATGAAAAATTCTAATGGTTTATTGTCACAATTGCTCTGAAAACCTTAATAATACCTATTAGATATTTTGCATATTACACAGGAAGAAGAGTTTGAATCTCAGATAAAAGCAAAAAAAATACATGAAAAGTCTTTCATGTTAGCACAGATTTTAGGCATCTCGTGTTCGGGAGGTTGGATCTAAGACGTGTTTTGAGTTGGTCATAGTGAAGGACGCGAGGTGTCAATTCTAGTGAGAGCAATTTCCAGGAAGCCATGTTCCGCTCTTGAGCGAGCACCCACTGGGCCTCATGCAAGGTAGAAAGAGCCTGCGTACGTCACCCTCCCATGATGTGGTCAACATGTAAACTGCATGGGCAGGGCGCCAAATAACATCCTGTGCGCTGCTGAGCTGAGCTGGGGCGCGGCCGCCTGTCTGCACCGGCAGCACCATGTTGCTCATGGTCGTCAGCATGGCGTGTGTTGGTGAGTCCTGGAAGGGAATCGAGGGAGGGAGTGCGGGGATGGAGATCTGGACCTGGAGGTAAAGATATGGGCCTAGAGGTGGAGTTATGGGCCTGGAGGTGGAGTTATGGGCCTGAAGTGGAGATCTGGGCCTGGAGTGGAGATCTGGGCCTGGAGTGGAGATAGGGGCCTGGGGTGGAGATATGTGCCTGGAGTGGAGATCTGGGCCTGGAGTGGAGATATGGGCCTGGGGTGGAGATATGTGCCTGGGGTGGAGATATGGGCCTGGAGGGGAGATATGGATGGGCCTGGAGGGGAGATGTGGGCCTAGAGGTGGAGTGATGGGCCTAGAAGTGGAGCGATGGGCCTGGAGTGGAGATATGGGCCTGGAGGTGGAGTTATGGGCCTGCAGTAGAGATATGGGCCTGAAGTGGAGATATGGGCCTGGAGTGGAGATATGGGCCTAGAGGTGGAGTTATGGGCCCGGAGGTGGAGTTAAGGGCATGAAGTGGAGATCTGGGCCTGGAGTGGAGATATGATCCTGGAGTGGAGATATGGGCCTGGGGTGGAGATACGGGCCTGGAGCAGACATACAAGCCTGGAAAGGAGATATGGGCCTGGAGAGGAGATAGAAGCCTGGAGTGGAAATATGGGCCTGGAGTGGAGATATGAGCCTGGAGTGGATATATGAGCCTGGAGTTGAGATAGGAGCCTGGAGTGGAGATATGGGCCTGGAGTGGACTTATCAGCCTGGAGAGGAGATATGGGTCTGGAGTGGAGATACGGACCTGGAGTGGAGATCTGGGCCTGTTGTGTAGATCTAGGCCTGGAGGTAGAGATCTGGGCCTGGAGGCTGAGTCTCTGCACAGCCGAGATCCTTGTTCCTGGGGGCAGGTAGGCAGCGAGGGTGAGTTTACCTTCAGCCCAGCAAGGGCCTGGCTGCCAAGACGCACAGCCCAGTGGGGGCAGCAGGGTGCCCTGGTTTGCCTGCAGATGGATGGTCCATCATGATCTTTCTTTCTAGGGTTCTTCTTGGTCCAGAGGGCCGGTCCACACGTGGGTGAGTCCTTCCCCAAACCTTAGGGTGTCATCTCCCCACATAAGAGGATTTTCCTGAAATGGGAGGGAAGTCCTGTCGGGGAGTCTCTCATAAACTAGGAAGAGGGGACCCTCGGATGCTCGGCCCACATTTCTGACCTTGCCCTCCCCGGCCTTTCTTTCCCTTTCCTGAGTCAAGCTCTGTGAAGACTGGGGTGAGACTAGGGTGCTCCAAGATGGGTGTGCAGGGAGGAAGTGGTGTCAGCAGCAGAGAAAGAGAGGGAAGCAGTGCTAGGAACAGCAGGTCCTCTGAGGACAAAGGTGTAACTCACACCCTCCAGCGTTTCCGTGATGGTAGGGGCTGCAGTGTGGCTGTGGTCTTTCTACCAGAAAAGGTGAGGAAACCACAGCCATGGCCCTGACATTCCAAATCCTCTGATGGGGGCTCAGTTCATCAATTGGCTGATATTCCATTCACATAGGACTTGCCCTCCATGCCGTGTCTACTTTGTGTTGTTTTATATGAGTAATTTTGCAGTATTAAAATCTAGTAAGAGTTGCTTCTCCAGCACTTGCTCAAAGTTCTCAGCTGACACTTGTTGTAGGGAGACGCCATGTCTATGCAGGATGGGTCCTTCCTGTAGCCCTGGGCACCCAGGTGTGGTAGGAGCCTTAGAAAGTGGAAATGGGGAGAATCTTCTGGGCACTGGGAGTGAGGGGCGGCTCCACATCCTCCTCTCTAAGGCAGTGCCTCCTTCTCCCCCAGGTGGTCAGGACAAGCCCTTCCTGTCTGCCTGGCCCAGCGCTGTGGTGCCTCGAGGAGGACACGTGACTCTTCGGTGTCACTATCGTCATAGGTTTAACAATTTCATGCTATACAAAGAAGACAGAATCCACGTTCCCATCTTCCATGGCAGATTATTCCAGGAGAGCTTCAACATGAGCCCTGTGACCACAGCACATGCAGGGAACTACACATGTCGGGGTTCACACCCACACTCCCCCACTGGGTGGTCGGCACCCAGCAACCCCGTGGTGATCATGGTCACAGGTCAGAGGCTTTCCGTCTGGGCTTCTCACTGTCCCACCTCCTGAATCCCAGAGCTTCTGGTGGGGGTGTCCGTCAGGGTCCCATCACCCAGGCCCTGACTGTATTTGGGGTCAAGGGAGATTGAATACAGGGGAAATGGGTGCTGTGGTGGGAAGAATCACTGTCCCCAATGATGGCTACATTGTAATCCCTGGAGCCTGTGACTATTTATGTTACAGGGCAGGGGACTGAAGGGGAAGGTGGAGCTCAGGTTGTTGATGAGTTGACCTTGAGATGGGGAGACAGCCTGGACTGTCCCACTGGGCTCAGTGTAATCACAAGGGTCCACATGAGAGGTGGAGGAAGAGGGGAGTGGGGATTAGAGCAGTGTAGTGGGAGGGAGACGCTATCAGCCACTGCGGGCTTTGAAGGTGGAGGAAGACCACTAGTCACAGAATGCAGGTGGCCTCTAAGGGCTGGAGAAGTCAAGAGAACTGATTCGCTGATTCTCCAGAGGGAACGCAGCCCTGTAGACACCTTGATTTCAGCACAGGGAGAACTGGATCCAATTTCTGTCTCCAGAAGTGGAAGGGGTCAGTGTGTTCTCTCCCGCTGCCATGTTTGTGGTAATTTTCTGCAGCAGCAACAGGAAACCAACACAGGAACCCAGGTCAAGGACAAGTTAGGAAACCAAACAAGGATAGCCAGATGTGGTGGTGGGCGCGAGTAATCCAACGACTGGGGAGGCTGAGGCAAGAGAATCACTTGAACTGGGGATTTGTTCAAAAGAGATTGATTCAGGCTGCTAAGAGCCTGGACATGCAGCCTCTCCTCTTCCACCCCCACATAGACAGCAGGAAAGAGATTAGTGGGAAACAGATACAACAGCCCAAGAGATGAGGCTGTCTTCACAGTGGCAAGGGAGTCAGGGGCTACTGGAGACAGAGGGACAGAGAAGAGGGAGGAAGACAGATGGAGGCACCTGCACCAGGGGATATGGGCACAGAAAAGACACGGAGATGCAGAGAGGGAGGAGAGAGACAGACACGGGGAGGGGAACCCTCACTCATTCCAGGTGCCATGGATGGGATGATAAAGAGAGATGCCTTCTAAACTCACAACTTCTCTTTCTAGGAAACCACAGAAAACCTTCCCTCCTGGCCCACCCAGGTCCCCTGGTGAAATCAGGAGAGAGAGTCATCCTGCAATGTTGGTCAGATATCATGTTTGAGCACTTCTTTCTGCACAAAGAGGGGATCTCTAAGGACCCCTCACGCCTCGTTGGACAGATCCATGATGGGGTCTCCAAGGCCAATTTCTCCATCGGTCCCATGATGCTTGCCCTTGCAGGGACCTACAGATGCTACGGTTCTGTTACTCACACCCCCTATCAGTTGTCAGCTCCCAGTGATCCCCTGGACATCGTGGTCACAGGTGAGAGTGTCTAGACATTGTTCTCATTGTCACTGGGACACAGAGTGAATGATCCAGGACTTGGAACCCCCAGGTGGTCATGAGGAAGATAAGTGTGGGATTCTTATGGAAAGAGAGTGACTTGGTGAGGTCTGTACCAACAGAGACAGAGAAACAGGAGACATAAGTACAGAACAGGTGTCATAACAGAGGACAGACACAGGGGCCATACAGGGAGGTAGAAAAGAGAGAAAGAGGTAAAGGAGACACTCAGACAGACAGACATGTCCCAGAGAGAGGTGTCCTTCCATGCTGACTTTGCTCAGAGACCTGGCACAGGTTAGAAGTTTCATTTCTGTTTTACCTCCACAAAGTGTTCCTACCAGAAGAACCCAAGGACACCCATATTTCTGACCTGAGTTGGGCCCTGTGGCCTCAGGCCTTGTGCCACCTACAGATGCCGTGTTTATTCTGACACCTCTGCCTTCCATGCAATGGAGAGTAATCATCCCAGGATATCATGGCCCCTGAACACCAACCCCTGTATGCTGTGTGAACTTGGGGTCCCCAGACTGGATTCTGAGGCTCATATTCCAAATAATCCCACATATGATAGGATCGCTGAGAGACACAGAGAAAAATCAGGGACACCAAAAAACAAAGACATAAACACACACAAAATGAGCCAGAAGAAGGAGATTAAGAGATTCACAGACACATAAAAAGAAAGAAAAGAGGGCAGAATGGAGAGAATGATGGAAAGGAGGAGAGAAAAGCCCCAAAATCAGAACCCTGAGGGAGGGACACAAAGACAGAGAAAGATAAATATGTGGGGATGGATTGCAGAGATTCCAAATAGAACTAGAGAGACTGAGAGGCAGAGAAAGACAAGGAGACGGAGAGAGAGAGATGATAGATGGATAGATAGACGTAGATAGATGATAAATAGGTAGATGATAGATAATGGATTGGTTATAGATACATAGATGATGACTGATAGATGATACATAGAGATGACGATGATGATGATAGACACATAGATATATACATAGATGATACATAAATAGAGACAGAGAGGCAGACAGAGAGGTAATAGAGAGAGAGATAGATGATACATATATAGATAATAGATGATTGATGGATAGATAGACAGATAGACAATTGATAGAGAGATAGATAAGTGATACATAAATATAGATGATAGATAATTTGTAGATAGACACAAAATAGATAAATAGATAGAAATGTGCAGAAAGTTATGAACAAGACAGAAAGTGAGAGACTCAAAATTAAAGAAAAAGGAAGATCAAGTCAACCAATCCAAGGAGGGTCAGAGAGAATAAAACAATCCAAAAAGGGAAAACATACCTCAGGGTGGGGAAGTGAGGTCATAGACCTAGAGAGACAGAAAAGGTAGAAGGAGGAAACAGATATGAAGAGAGATGGGGTGGAGGGTGAGAGAGAGAGAGAGAGCATTAGGTCATAGAGCAGGGGAGTGAGTTCTCAGCTCAGGTATGAGGGGAGCTATGACAAGGAAGAACCTCCCTGAGGAAACTGCCTCTTCTCCTTCCAGGTCCATATGAGAAACCTTCTCTCTCAGCCCAGCCGGGCCCCAAGGTTCAGGCAGGAGAGAGCGTGACCTTGTCCTGCAGCTCCCGGAGCTCCTATGACATGTACCATCTATCCAGGGAGCGGGGAGCCCATGAACGTAGGCTCCCTGCAGTGCGCAAGGTCAACAGAACATTCCAGGCAGATTTCCCTCTGGGCCCTGCCACCCACGGAGGGACCTACAGATGCTTCGGCTCTTTCCGTCACTCTCCCTACGAGTGGTCAGACCCGAGTGACCCACTGCTTGTTTCTGTCACAGGTGAGAAAAGCCCATATCTCTCTCATGTCCTATGATCCTAAATCCTTAGCTAAGGAGCTTCCTGCTGATGATGGAGAAAAGCATGGACAGATGCAGAGAGAAGACACAGCAGGTGTGAGGGCGGAGTCAGGGCGCAGGATGGCAGACAGGGCACCTCCAAACCCTCCTTCATGGCCTGCATGGAGGCCTCCGATCAGGGCTCCAGGCACCCAGGCAGATGGAGAAAGCGGTCAGGACAGACCCAGAGAAGGGGAGACTGGGCTTAGTTTGGGGAGATCAGAGGTTCCCTCAGCCCCTCAATCTTATCCATTTCCCAGAAGCCCATCATGGCCTCTCACCCACACAGAGAGATATCATCACCAGCAACCCCTACACCCTTTTCTTTTCATTTTCAAAAATATTTATTGAGGTTAAATGTAACTATATAATTTACCACCTTTACCATTTTTAAAAGTAAAATCTAGTGGTCATAAATACCTTTATATGCTGGGTGTGGTGGTTCACGGTTGTAATCTCGGCGCTTTGAGAGGCCAAGGAAGGTGGATCATTTAAGATCAGGAACTCGAGATCACCCTGGCCAACATGTGGGAAATTCATCTTTACTAAACAGACAAGAAAAATTAGCCGAGCATGCTGGCATGCACCTGTAGTCCTAGCTACTTGGGAGGCTGAGGCAGGAGAAGCACTTAAAGCCAGGAGGCAGAGGTTGCACTGAGCCGAGATCATGCCACTGCACTGCAGCCTGGGAGACAGAGAGAGACTCTGTTTCTAAATAAATAAATACATCTATATTCTTTTTTTTGTTACCCTCCACCCTTCCCTTCCTGGCCTCTGGTGTCCACCATTGTATTCTCCACCTTCATGAGATCCACCTTTTATCTCCTGCATGTGGGTGAGAAATGGGAATCTTTGTAATGACCTCCAGTTCCATCCATGTGGCTGCAAATGACAGGATGTTATTGTTTCTATGGATGAGTAGTCTCCACTGTGTGTGTGTACCACAGTTCTCTATCCATTCACCCACTGATGGGCAGGTAGGTTGACTCCACATCTTGGCTACTGTGAACAGTGCTGGAACAGTCATATGAGTGCAGATATCACTTCGATACACTGATGTCCTTTCCTTTGGATATAAACCCAGTAGTGAAATTGCTGGACACTATGAAAGTTCTCTTTTTTTTTTTTTCTTTTTTGAGAAAGAGTTTCCCTCCTTAGTCCAAGCTGGAGTCTAAGTGGTGAGATCTTGGCTCATTGCAACCTGTGCCTCCTAGGTTCAAATGATTGTCCTGACTCAGCCTCCCTAGTAGCTGTGATTACAGGTGCACGCCACCATGCCTGGCTAATTCTTGTATTTTTTTAGCACAGACGGGATATCCCAATTTTGGGCAGGCTGCTCTCAAACTCCTGACCTCAAGTGAGGTGCCTGCCTCGGTTTCCCAAAGTGCTGAAGTTACAGGCATAAGCCACTATGCCCAGCCTCCTTTTAGTTTTTTAAAGAATTTCCATACTTTTCTCCATAATAGTTGTACTAATTTACATTCCTACCAACAGGGTACCAGGGTTCTCCTTTCTCTACCATCTTGCCAGCATTTGTTTTGCCTGTCTTGCAGTAAAAGCCATTTTACTTTACTTTATTTTATTTATTTATTTATGTTGAGATGGAGTTTCACTCATAGTCTCCCAGGCTGGAGTGCAAGGGTGTGATCTCAGCTCACTGCAACCTCCGCCTCCCGCGTTCAACTGATTCTCCTGCCTCAGCCTCCAAAGTAGCTGGGATTACAGGCATGTGCCACCACGCCTAGCTAATTTTTGTATGTTTAGTAGAGAGGGAGTTTCTCCATGATGGTCAGGCTGGTCTCCCGACCTCAGGTGATCCGCCCACCTCCGCCTCCTGAAGTGCCGGAATTACAGGCGTGAGCCACCGGCCTAAAAGGCATTTTAATGGGATGAGATGAAAACTCATCGCGATTGTAATTTACATTTCTCTGATGATGAGTGATGCCGAGTACTTTTTCATATACGTGATCGCCATTTCTATGTTTTGTTTGTGGAGAAATGTCTCCTCATGTCTTTTGCTCGTTTTTTAATTAAATTGTTTTATTGAGTTGTTTGAGCTTCTTATATTTCCAGTTATTAATCCCGTCTCAGATGAATAGTTTGCAAATATTTGCTCCTATTTTGTCGGTTGTCTCTTCACTTTCTTGGTTTATCTTTTGTGGTGCAGAAGTTGCTTGGTTTGATGTAATCCTAATGGTCTATTTTTTGCTTTGATTACTTGTGTTTTGAAGGTTTTAAACAAAATGTCTTTCGTCAGACAAATGTCTTCCCCATTATTTTCTTCTACATGTTTCATAGGTTCAGGCCTTAGACTCATGTTTTTAATCCATTTTCATTTGATTTTTGTGTATGGTGACAGGTATAGATGCAGTTTTATTCCTCTGCATATAGATATCCAGTTTTCCCCACACCATTTATTGAAAAGACTGTCCTTTCCTGATTGTAAGTTCTCGGCACCTTTGTCAAAGTCCATTAAATGGGCTGGGTATGGTGGCTCACACCTGCAATTCCAGCACTTTGGGAGGCCGAGGCGGGTGGATCACCTGAAGCCAGGAGTTCAAGATCAGGCTGGCCAACAGAGTGAAACCTCGTCTCTACTAAAAATACAAAAATTAGCTGAGCATGGTGACCAGTGCCTGTAATACCACTACTCGGGTGTTTGAGGCAAGAGAATTGCTTGAATCCAGGAAGTGGAGGTTGCATTGAGCTGAGATTGCACCTCTGCACTCCAGCCTGCATGACAGAGCAAGATTCTAACACACACACACACAAAAAAAGCCATTGGATGTAAATGCATGGATTATATCTGTGTTCTCCATTCTGTTTCATTTTTTATGTGCCTTTCTTTATGCCAATGTCATGCTGTTTTGCTTACTACAGCTCTGTAACATATTTCTAAGTCAGGTAGTGTGATGCTCCTGTTTTCTCTTTATACCTTCAAGTCTCAAGACAGTGGGCATCGCACACAAAAATTATGGAGAAGAGGATCCCAAGACTCCCAGGGTCCAACATTAGATAACAGAGTGTTGGCCATGAACCAACCTCAAAGATTTCCATTGAGTAGAGGACAAGCACCCTCATTTCCTCACATCTCTCCTGTCCCATGTTCTAGGAAACCCTTCAAGTAGTTGGCCTTCACCCACAGAACCAAGCTCCAAATCTGGTGAGTAAAGGACCCCTCTTATCTCTGCTTTTGGAAACCTGGGGAGGTGGAAGCCTTGGATGCAAGTGTTGGCTCAAACCTCCCAGCTCTGTGAATGAGGGCCTGTCTTCCACCATCTCTGAACTCCAGACACTCCAACAGTGAAAGGGATCTAGGGCCACCAAAGGACTCAGCGAAGTCTCTTAACCTTTAATGTCCTGCAGGTGAGACCTCCTACAAGCTAGAAGAATGATTGCCAATCTGACATCCTTCTCAGGAAACATGCAGTGTTTTTTCTTCCTGCATTCCTAACTGGAGGATAAATTCCTGGGGACTTGAGAGAGGGAAGGGAAGGGAACATCTGATGAGGGCGAGGTGTTTTAGAGAAGTTCCACTTGCCAAGGAATGAATTACTGTTGGTCATGAAGCAACCCTGGCTGACTCAGCAGAGCAAGAGCCTTGCCGTAACAGAGAACAGAGCTCATGCACGCACACTTCGACTCACTGACTCATTCAGCCACGGCCCCATGCTCAGGCTGTGCAGTTGGAATCCTTTCCTATTGTTGCCATAACAAATTTCCACAAGATTCGTGGGTGAAAACAAAACGGTTTTTTAATTATCTTACAGTGCTGTAGCTCAAAGTAGGAAGTGCATCTTACTGGGCTAAAATCAAGGTGACAGCAAGGCTGCCTTCCCTCTGAGGATTCCAGGCAAGAATCTGCTTCTCACTTGTCCCAGCTTCTAAAGGCTCCCAGTTCCTTGGCTCCTGGTCCCCTTCCTCCTTCCTCAAAGCCCACAAAGACTGGTCACATCTCACATGGCATCACTCAGACCCTTCTTCCTTACCACACCTCTTTCTCTGAATGCTGCTCTCCCTTCTTCCTTATCTTTTGAAAACTTGGGGATTCTATTGGGTTCACCAAGATGAAAATCCATCATAATCTCCCGGAAATCATTCAGGATACCCTTGTTTTCAGTTCAGCTGACTAGCAACCGTAATTCCATCTGCAATCTTCATTCCTTCTTTCCATGTAAAATAAGATATTCACAAGCTATGGAGGCTAGGACAGGGACATTTTGGGGTGGGACAGCATTCTCCTGCCTTCCACGAACGGTGAACAAGATGCATTTGGCCTCTGCTCTTGGGACACTGATATTGCAGATGGTTAAATGGGAGGACAGAAAATGAATGCACAAGTGGACCAATAAATGAATGATCCATTGGGAAGCATCTGTGCATGAAATCTATTTGTTTGTTCGTTCATTTATTTATTGAGACAGAGTCTCCCTCTGTCTTCCAGGCTACAGTGCAGTGTCACGATCTTGGCTCACTGCAACCTGCGTCTCCTGGATCCAAGTGATTCTCCTGCCTCACCCTCTCGAGTAGCTGGGATTACAGGCAACTGCCACCATGCCCGGCTAATTCTTTTTGTATATTTTTTGTAGAGAGGATGTTTCACCATGTTGGCCAAGCTTGTCTGAAACTCCCAACCTCAAGTGATCCGACCATCTCAGCAACCCAAAGTACTGGGATTACAGGCGTGAGCCACTTTGCCCAGCCAGAATTCAAAATAAATAATAGATAATGCTGAGTGTATAATTTTGGGTGACAGAGAAGGTCTCACTAATCAGATATTTGTGACATTAATGAAAAACACGGATTGAACCCCTGAAAGATTGGCGGAAGGATTTTCCACACACAGCTGTCAGCCGTGAAGGCAGAAAGCTGAAAACAATCTGATGTGGAAGGAAGAGGCTCTGCCTGAAATGCTGGGAATGAGGTGGGGAGAATGACAAGACGACTGTGGAGAGACGGAGAGCACACTGGGTACACAGGAAACTAAGGAGCAACAAGGAGTGTGTGTTTGACACTCACAGCCATTGGATTCACCTCGGGGTAGCCAGGAATCCCTACATGATTAATAGTGACTGACATGAAAATAAGGGAGGCCCAGGTGCGTAACTGGAATCTAGGAGACAGTGGAAAAGGCAATTGCCGCCCCACTGGTGAAATGTGGTGCTGATTTAGACCCTAAGTGGATGAAGCAGATGGATATAAGCTATGTTTGGGAGGTAGAATCATTTGCAGGGAGGGCTTGCTGGGTTTGAGTTTCCTAGTTGTTTAATCCTTGCTAAATTAATTTCTTTCTGAGATTTATTCCTCCTACACATAAATCAATACCTGCCAAAGGAGTGACAGATATATGAGGGGTGGTGGAAATGAAGGGACCTATTATAGCATAGTATACAAGTCTGTGAACGGTGGCTCACTCCTGTAACCCAGCACTGCAGGAGGCTAAGGCCAGTGGATTCCAAGAAGTCAGGAGTTCGAGACCAGCCTGGCCAACATGGAGAAACCCTATCTCTACATGGTGAAACCCTATCTCTCCTAAAAATACAAAAATTAGCCGAGCATGGTGGTGCATCCCTGTAATCCCAGCTCCTGCTCTGGAGGATGAAGCAGGAGAATGACTTCAACCCAGGAGGTGGAGGTTGCAGTGAGTGGAGATCGCATCACTGCACTCCAGCCTGGGTGACACAAGGAGACTCCATCTCAAAAAATAAAAATAAGAAATGCATAAATATAATAAAACACACACGAATGACAAAGGCACCTGAATTCCCATCATCATTTTTCTATTTCTCTATAATTACTTCTTTGATCCTTTATCTTATCCATTAGGCAATCAGCCTAAAACCTCTTCCGTATTTGGCTTTCTGTGAGCATGAGATCATATAGAAAATGTGAAAGCCCGCTGAATCCTCCAGCACAAATCCTGGAATAGAGAAAGTGCTCTGGTCATCACAAAAAAAACTTGCCCCCTCACCCAAATCCCCCATCTCACCCCTACTTCCAATCACCTGTGGAGATACAGATAGATCATGGGGAGGTAAATGCTAATACTCCTTGGAGTGAGTCCAGATCTTGGAATCAGAGATCAGTGCCAGCACTAGCTCCTGCTCCCCTTTCCTACTAATTCACAGGAGGACAGGTGGTATTGAAGCAATAGATAGTCGAGGGGGTGGTCCTTCCCCCAGCCTCTGAGGTAGAACAGCAGCCTAACATGTGTCTCCCGAGATCACAAAGAGTAGCACATTTCACACGGGCTTCAACACTATTTTCTGGCTGTTTGACATAAGAGAATTCTACTTCGCTTTTTTTATATTGATTTCACTTTTGTTTCCTTTTCTTGGAGAATGCAAGTTGTTTAACTCAAGAATGCCGTGGATGTAGAAATCCTAAAGCACATTCGCTGTGTATCAATCCCAGTCCAGTCTTCCCAGAGAAGACTCTAAACACCTCCTGGACTGCACCTGGGCCTATGCCAATTCCTATCACTCACCGTCACTCCAGGGAGACAGAACACACAGAGAATACGTTACATAGGCAGGTTCATTACTAACAGATAAGCAGCGAGTGACAACAGAAGCCTACATTTCAATGTGAGCCAGTTCCCCAAGGCTCAGAAAAGCTGCTCGAGACATGTGGAGTCACCCCATTTGCAGTGTAGCTGGGGGAAGCCAGAAAGCAGCCCAGCCTGGGTTTTGTACCCTGGAGCCACAGGAAGCACTCAGCTAAAGCACTGCATGACGTCCTCCTCCAGGAAGAACAGGAAGACAGCCCAGGCTGTTCTGGGACGATCCTCCTGATCTCAGGACTTTGCTGTCTTAGTCCATTTTTGTTGCTCTAAAGGAACACTTGAGCCTGGGTAACTTCTAAAGAAGAGATTGGTTTGCCTCACCATTCTGCAGGCTGTACTGGAAGCATGGCACCAGCATCTATTTCTTATGATGGCCTCAGGCCGCTCCCACTCTGGCAGAAGGGAAGGAGGGTCTGTCTGTGCAGAGACCACAGAGATCACACGGCAAGAGAGGGAGCAAGGGGGAGGGGGAGCAATGGAGCTTCCAAGCTCTTTTTAACAACCAGCTCTCCAGGAACTAATAGAGAGGGAACTTGCTAACCCCGTCTCCTTGGGACAGCATTGATCTGTTCATGATGGATCCACCTCCATGACCCAAACACCTCCCAAGAGGCCCAACCTCCCACACTGGGGGTTAAATTTCAATGTGAGGTTTGAAGGGGTCAAACATCTCAACTAAAGTAGTTGTATCCTCAGCACGTTCCATGGTTACTATGAGAGCTATAACTGAGAAAGCAGGAGGAAGCTAGGTCTCCCGCCATCTGGGTGCTTGTCCGAAAGAGATGCTGTAAGTGGTTACCTGTCAATCAAGAAATGCAAGACAATTCATATAGAGAAACTGCTATGATTAGCTTCTTACTGGTGTCTCCTCTTCTTCCAGGTAACCCCAGACACCTGCACATTCTGATTGGGACCTCAGTGGTCATCATCCTCTTCATCCTCCTCCTCTTCTTTCTCCTTCATCTCTGGTGCTCCAACAAAAAAAGTAAGTCTCACGGGGCACAGGCCAGAGAGCTCAGGGCCATGTGGGGAAGCAGGATGGGAGCACACAGCTGTGTGTTCCTCACTGGCAGGATGGTCCCTGGCCCAAGACAGGAGCCACAGAGGCAGGACTTTCTAGAGAGAGCACCAGACTCCCTGCCCCTGCCTTCAGCTCACAGACCGTTGCCTGATTCTGAACTGTATCCTCATGTCCCCTGCAGCCACTCACATCCAGGAGAAGGTTCCATGAGAGGCAGAAAGTGGGAGACAGAATCAATGGGATGGGAACTCAGAGCTATTCATGGGATGGGTCCTTGAGCTCAGAGAGATAGAATGTCTGAGTCTGCTGTTGGCAACTGAGGGACCTCAGGCACCTATGGCCTCCCCCTGTTTGTTGGTATCTGCTTATGAAATGAGGACCCAGAAGTGCCCTCCGAGCTCTTTTGTTGACTTCCGTCTCCTACAGATGCTGCTGTAATGGACCAAGAGCCTGCAGGGAACAGAACAGCCAACAGCGAGGTAGGTGCTCCTCGGCCCAGCCTCGTGGCTAGTGTTATTCCCAAACAGTCCTGGAAAACGTGAGCACCCTCCCTCACTCAGCATTTCCCTCCCTCACTCAGCATTTCCCTCTCTCCAGGACTCTGATGAACAAGACCCTGAGGAGGTGACATACGCACAGTTGGATCACTGCGTTTTCACACAGAGAAAAATCACTCGCCCTTCTCAGAGGCCCAAGACACCCCCTACAGATACCATCTTGTACACGGAACTTCCAAATGCTAAGCCCAGATCCAAAGTTGTCTCCTGCCCATGAGCACCACAGTCAGGCCTTGAGGACGTCTTCTAGGGAGACAACAGCCCTGTCTCAAAACCGAGTTGCCAGCTCCCATGTACCAGCAGCTGGAATCTGAAGGCGTGAGTCTTCATCTTAGGGCATCGCTCCTCCTCACGCCACAAATCTGGTGCCTCTCTCTTGCTTACAAATGTCTAGGTCCCCACTGCCTGCTGGAAAGAAAACACACTCCTTTGCTTAGCCCACAGTTCTCCATTTCACTTGACCCCTGCCCACCTCTCCAACCTAACTGGCTTACTTCCTAGTCTACTTGAGGCTGCAATCACACTGAGGAACTCACAATTCCAAACATACAAGAGGCTCCCTCTTGACGTGGCACTTACCCACGTGCTGTTCCACCTTCCCTCATGCTGTTTCACCTTTCTTCGGACTATTTTCCAGCCTTCTGTCAGCAGTGAAACTTATAAAATTTTTTGTGATTTCAATGTAGCTGTCTCCTCTTCAAATAAACATGTCTGCCCTCATTGCTTCAGGTAATGTGACACTGTATTCGCTGAAAGAAACCGCTGTTATCATTACCATGTCCACATAACCCCATCTGTTCTCCGCTGGGTTCTCACCCCTGGATTCTGAGCTTCTGGAAGCAGGGTGGAGCCTCATTTGTCTCTGGGACTCCAATTTCCATCCAAAGATGCAGCACATAGGAGGTTCCAAGGATCGTGAATCACATGAACAAGTGATATTCTTACTCTCTGCAACCTGGAAAGCTGGCAGAGTCATTCCACGATGAAACATTTGTAGAGTCATAAGCCTTGCTAGTCTCATCTCCACGGGGACACATATCAACACATCATATTTCATACTATAAATATACAGTCGCTCCTCCATATCTGTGGGGTTTACAGGTGTTTATTGAACCAAGTGTAAATCAAAAATATTCAGAGAAAATGTCCACAAAGTTTCAAAATGCAAAACTATGTTGAATGGACACAAATGAGGCAGTGTGTAGGCTGTATCAGGAATTATAAGTAATCAAGAGATGATTTCATGTATACAGGAGGATGTGCATGGGTTATATCCAAATGCTGTGTCATTTTATGTAAGAGGCTTGAGCATCTGCAGATTTTGGTACCTGAGTGGAGATCCTGAAACCAATCACCCACGAATAGTAAAGGATGACCGTATATGACTTTTATTTCTCAATTTTAAATATAAATCATAAAAAATGTACAATAACTAGATAAAAAGTAAGAAGTGTTTTTATAGTGTGAGAATAAGTTTAGATTTATTTTTTCCTACGTGTAACCCTTTGGTTTAATATTATTTATTAAGAAGACATTCTATGCCACCTTAAACCACACGGCAGCCTTTGTCAACTCTAAAGGGACTGTGTGTACACGGATGTATTTTAGACACTGTTTCTGCTAAGGGGCTCTCTGTGTCCACACTCTTGAGGATGCTGCACTTCATGTAGCCTTATAAAACCCTTTAAATTTAGTAGCCAGAGCCCTCTAATTTGTTATTATAGGCTACTTGCTATTTTTTTTTCTTGAGGCGGAGTCTTGCTCTGTCGCCCAGGCGGGACTGTAGTGGAGCAATCTCAGCTCACTGCAACTTCCGCCTCCCAGGTTCAGGCGATTCTCGTGCCTCAGCCTCTTGAGTAGCTGGCGTTACAGGTGCCTGCCACCAGGCACGGCTAATTTTTGGATTTTTAGCAGAGACACGGTTTCACTATGTTGGCCAGGCTGCTCTCAATCTCCTCATCTCAGTTGATCCGCCCACCTCGGCTTCCCGACCTGCTGGGGGAAACTTGATTTTCTATAGCATTATGTTACTGGATATTTCTGTAAAATTTAAAATGAGGGAGGCAGAGAGACAGAGAGAGAGCAAACTCCAAAGTTGGGACTCTGGAATCTTGAGTCATGAGACAAATTATAGATAAAACTACAAAAATCCAGAATTTACATGTGTGGTTTTTGCTGATAAAGTACAATTCTAAGATTGTAAATAATTGCATAATCCTTCCCTGGGAATTTAAATCATTTGAACTGGTTCTGCTGTAATACTAGAAATACAAGCATGAACAATTCTAATGGTTTATTAGTCACAATGACTCTGAAAACACTAATAATACCTATTAGATATTTTGCATATTACACAGGAAGAAGAGTTCGAATCTCAGATAAAAACAATAAAAATTCATGAAAAGTCTTTCATGTTAGCACAGATTTTAGGCATCTCATGTTTGGGAGGTTGGATCTAAGACATGTTTTGAGTTGGTCATAGTGAAGGACGCGAGGTGTCAATTCTAGTGAGAGCAATTTCCAGGAAGCCATGTTCCGCTCTTGAGCGAGCACCCACTGGGCCTCATGCAAGGTAGAAAAAGCCTGCGTACGTCACCCTCCCATGATGTGGTCAACATGTAAACTGCATGGGCAGGGCGCCAAATAACATCCTGTGTGCTGCTGAGCTGAGCTGGGGCGCGGCCGCCTGTCTGCACCGGCAGCACCATGTCGCTCATGGTCATCATCATGGCGTGTGTTGGTGAGTCCTGGAAGGGAATAGAGGGAGGGAGCGTGGGGATGGAGATCTGGGCCCAGAGGTGGAGATATGGGCCTGGAGGTGGAGTTATGGGCCTGGAGTGGAGATCTGGGCCTAGAGATGGAGTGATGAGCCTAGAAGTGGAGATCTGCGCCTGGAGTGGAGATCTGGGCCTGGAGTGAAGATCTGGGCCTGGAGTGGAGATATGGGCCTGGAGTGGGGATAGGAACCTGGAGTGGAGAGAGGAACCTGGAGGAGAGATAGGAACCTGGAGGGGAGGTAGGAGCCTAGGGTGGAGATATGTGGCTGGAGTGGAGATATGGGACTGGAGTGGAGATATGGGCCTGGAGTGGAGTTATGGGCCTGGAGTGAAGTTATGGGCCTGGAGGTGGAGATACGGGCCTGGAGTGGAGATATGAGCCTGGAGTGGAGATATGGTCCTGGAGTGGAGATATGGGCCTGGAGTGGAGATATGGGTCTGCAGTGGAGTTATGGGCCTGGAGTGAAGTTATGGGCCTGGAGGTGGAGATATGGGACTGGAGTGGAGATATGGGACTAGAGTGGAGATAGGGGCCTGGAGGTGGAGATCTGGGCCTGGAGTGGAGATCTGGGCCTGGAGTGGAGATCTGGGCCTGGAGTGGAGATATGGGCCTGGAGTGGAGATATGGGTCTGCAGTGGAGATATGGGCCTGGAGGTGGAGATATGGGCCTGGAGTGGAGTTATGGGCCTGGAGTGAAGTTATGGGCCTGGAGGTGGAGATATGGGCCTGGAGTGGAGATATGGGACTAGAGTGGAGATAGGGGCCTGGAGGTGGAGATCTGGGCCTGGAGTGGAGATATGGCCCTGGAGTGGAGATATGGGCCTGGAGTGGAGATATGAGCCTGGAGTGGAGATATGGCCCTGGAGTGGAGATATGGGCCTGGAGGTGGAGATATGGGCCTGGAGTGGAGTTATGGGCCTGGAGTGAAGTTATGGGCCTGGAGGTGGAGATATGGGCCTGGAGTGGAGATATGGGACTAGAGTGGAGATACGGGCCTGGAGGTGGAGATCTGGGCCTGGAGTGGAGATATGGCCCTGGAGTGGAGATATGGGCCTGGAGTGGAGATATGAGCCTGGAGTGGAGATATGGCCCTGGAGTGGAGATATGGGCCTGGAGTGGAGATATGAGCCTGGAGTGGAGATATGGCCCTGGAGTGGAGATATGGGCCTGGAGTGGAGATATGGGCCTGGAGTGGACATATGGGTCTGGAGTGGAGATACGGGCCTGGAGGTGGAGATATGGGCCTGGAGTGGAGATATGGGCCTGGAGGTGGTGATATGGGCCTGGAGTGTAGACATGGGCCGAGTGGAGATATGGGTCTGGAGTGGAGATATGGGCCTGGAGTGGAGATATGGGACTGGAGTGGAGATATAGGCATGGGGTGGAGACATGGGCCGGGAGTGGAGATATGGGACTGGAGTGGAGATACGGGCGTGGGGTGGAGATATGTGCCTGGAGGTGGAGATATGGGCGTGGGTTGGAGATATGGGCCTGGAGTGGAGATATGGGCGTGGGGTGGAGATATGGGTCTGGAGTGGAGACATGGGCATGGGGTGGAGATATGGGCCTGGTGTGTAGATATGGGCCTGGAGTGGAGATATGGCCCTGGAGTGGAGATATGGGCCTGGAGTGGAGATCTGGGCCTACGGTGGAGATATGGGCCTAGGATGGGGATATGGGCCTGGAATGGAGATATGGGCCTGGGTGTGGAGATATGGGACTGGAGTGGAGATATGGGCCTGATGTGGAGATATGGGCTTGGAGTGGAGATATGATCCTGGAGTGTAGTTATGGGCCTGGAGGTGGAGATCTGGGCCTGGGGTGGAGATATGGGCCTGGAGTGGAGATATGGGACTGGAGAGGAGATATGGGACTGGAGTGGAGATATGGGCCTGGAGTGGAGATATGGGCCTGGATTGGAGATATGGGCCGAGGGTGGAGATCTGAGCCTGGATTGGAGATGTGGGCCCGGATTGGCTATATGGGTCTAGGGTGGAAATATCGGCCTGGAGTGGAGATATGGGCCTGGAGTGGAGATATGGGCTTGGGGTGGGGATATGGGCCTGGAGGCTGGGTCTCTGTACAGCCGAGAGCACTGTTCTTGGGTGCAGGTAGGCACTGATGGTGAGTTTACCTTCGGCCCAGGAAGGGGCTGGCTATCAAGACTCACAGCCCAGTGGGGGCAGCAAGGAAGGCCTTGTTTGCCTGCAAATGGATCTTCCATCATGATCTTTCTTTCCAGGGTTCTTCTTGCTGCAGGGGGCCTGGCCACAGGAGGGTAAGTCCTTCTCCAAACCTTAGGGTGTCATCTCCCCACATAAGAGGATTTTCCTGAAACGGGAGGGAAGTCCTGTCAGGGAGTCTCTCATAAACTAGGAAGAGGGGACCCTGGGGTGCTCGGCCCACAGTTCCGACCTTGCCTCCCTGGCCTCTCAACCCCTTGGCAGAGTCAAGTTGTGTGGGGACCAGGGTTGGACTAGGGTGTTCAAAGCTGGGTTGTGTGGTGGGGAAGTGGTAGGAACAGCAGATCCTCTGAGGACAAAGGTGTTACTCACACACTTCAGCGTTTCCATGACGGTAGGGGCTGCAGTGTGGCTGCTGTCATTCTACCAGAAGAGGTGGGAAACCACAGCCATGGCCCTGACATTCCAAATCCTCTGATGGGGGCTAAGTTTTTTATTTTCATTCAGGCAACTGCTGATATTCCATTCTCAAAGGACATGCCCTCCACTTCATGTCTACCCTGTGTTGTTTTATGTCAGTAATCTTACAGTATTAAAATCTAGTAGGAGTCTCTTACTCAGCACTTGCTCAAAGTTCTCAGCTGACACTTTTGTTGTACGGAGACACCTTGTCTTTGTGGGATGGGTCCTTCCTTTAGCCCTAGGCACCAAGGTGTGATAGCAGCCATAGAAATGTGGAAAGTGGGGAGAATCTTCTGAGCACAGGGAGGGAGGCACAGCTCCACATCCTCCTCTCTAAGGCGGCGCCTCCTTCACCCCAAGGTGGTCAGGACAAGCCCTTGCTTTCTACCTGGCCCAGCCTTGTGGTGCCTCCAGAACATGTGACTCTTCAGTGTCACTCTAATCTTGGGTTTAACAACTTCAGTCTGTACAAGGATGATGGGGTGCCTGTCCCTGAGCTGTACAACAGAATATTCTGGAAAAGCCTTTTCATGGGCCCTGTGACCCCGTCACATGCAGGGACCTATAGATGCCGGGGTTCACACACACACTCCCCCAGTGGGTGGTCGGCACCCAGCAACCCCCTGGTGATCATGGTCACAGGTCAGAGGGCTCCTGTCTGGGATTCTCCTTGTCCCACCTCCTGAATCCCAGAGCTTCTGGTAGGCATGTCCTTGAGGGTCCCATCACGCAGGCCCTAACTGTATTTGGGGTAAAGGGGGATTGAATACAGGGAAATGGGTGCTGTGGTGGGAAGAATAAGTGTCCCCAGTGATGACTGCATTCTAATCCCTGGAGTCTGTGACTATTTATGTTATAGGGGAAGGGACTGAAGGGGAAGATGGAGCTCAGGTTGTTGATGAGTTGACCTTGAGATGGGGAGACAGCCTGGACTGTCCCGGTGGGCTCAATATAATCACAAGTGTCCACATGAAAGGAGGAGGAAGAGGAGAGTGGGGATTAGAGCAGCGTAGTGGGAGACTCCATTAGCTTTGAAGGTGGATGAAGGCCATAAGCCATGAATGCAGGTGGCCTATAGAGGCTGGGAAAGTCAAGTAACTGATTCTCCTGAGTCTCCAGAGGGAACACAGCCCTGCAGATGCCTTGATTTTAGCCCTCGAAAAACAGGGTCCGCTTTCTGTCTCCAGAATCGGAGGGGGTCAGTGTGCTCTCTCCTGCTGCCATGCTTCTGATAATTTTCTACAGCAGCAACAGGAAACCAACACTGGAACCCAGGTCAAGGACAAGTTAAGAAAAGACACAAGGATAGCCAGGCATGGTGGCAGGTGCATGTAATCCTAGCGACTCGGGAGGCTGAGAGCAGGAGAATCGCTTGAACCCAGGAGACAGAGGTTGCAGTGAGCGTAGACCACACCACTTCACTCCAGCCTGGGTGAAGGAGTGAGACTCTGTCTCCAAAATTAATTAATTAATTAAAGAAACCAAACAAAGAGAAGGTTGGCTACACCGAGATCAGCAAGGGTGGGATGATGATGCCACCACCAGGCTCCATCCACATAGGGAGGGGTTGATACTCCTCAAATCAGCACGAGGAGCCAGCCTATGGAAACTGGCACCATGGAGAAGGCACAGACATGGCAAGAGTGGCTCCCAGTCCCCACCAGGAACAGGGTGTGTGGACACTGGTGCCTGCCTTACTGATCAGTTCATACCTCCTGCCAAGGATTCCAATTCGTCCAAAAGAGATTGAACCAGGCTGCTAAGAGCCGGGACGTGCAGCCTATCCTGCTTCCTCTTCCACTCCCACATAGACAGTAAGAAAGACATTAGTGTGAAATAGATACAACAGCCCAAGAGATGAGGCTGAGCCCAGTGGGAAGGGAATCACAGCTACTAGAGACAGAGGGACAGAGAAGAGGGAGGGAGACAGATGGAAGGACCTGCACCAGGAGTTATGGGCACAGAAAAGAACATGAAGACACAGAGAGGAAGCAGAGAGACAGACACCAGCGAAGGGAAGTCTCACTCATTCCAGGTGCCATGGATGGGATGATAAAGAGAGACACCTTCTAAACTCACAACCTCTCTTCCTAGGAGTCCACAGAAAACCTTCCTTCCTGGCCCTCCCAGGTCACCTGGTGAAATCAGAAGAGACAGTCATCCTGCAATGTTGGTCGGATGTCATGTTTGAGCACTTCCTTCTGCACAGAGAGGGGAAGTTTAACAACACTTTGCACCTCATTGGAGAGCACCATGATGGGGTTTCCAAGGCCAACTTCTCCATTGGTCCCATGATGCCTGTCCTTGCAGGAACCTACAGATGCTACGGTTCTGTTCCTCACTCCCCCTATCAGTTGTCAGCTCCCAGTGACCCTCTGGACATGGTGATCATAGGTGAGAGTGTCCAGACATTCTTCTCATTGTCATTGGGATGCAGAGTGAATGATCCAGGACTTGGAGACCCAGGTGGTTGTAAGGAAGATGAGCTTGGTATTCTTATGGAGAGAGACTGACTTGGTGAGGTCTGTGCCAACAGAGACAGAGAAACAAGAGACACAAGTACAGACCAGGTGTCATAACAGAGGACAAACACAGGGGCCATACCGGGAGTTAGAAAAGACAGAAAGAGTTAAAGGAGACAGACAGACATGTCCCAGACAGAGGTGTCCTTCCATGCTGACTTTGCTCAGAGACCTGGCACAGGTTAGAAGTTTCATTTCTGTTTTACCTCCACAAAGTGTTCTCTACCAGGAGAACCCAAGGACACCCATATTTCTGACCTGAGTTGGGCCCTGTGGCCTCAGGCCTTGTGGCACCTACAGATGCCATGCTTATTCTGACACCTCTGACTTCCATGCAATGGAGAATAATCGTCCCAAAATATCATGGCCCCAGAACACCAACCCCTGTATGCTGTGTGAACTTGTGGTCTCCAGACTGGATTCTGAGGCTCACATTCCAAATAACCCCACATATCACATATGAGAGGATCACTGAGAAGCACAGAGAGAAATCAGGGACACCAAAAAGCAAAGACATAAACACACAGAGAAAGAGCCAGAGGAAGGAGATTGAGAGACTCACAGACACATAAAGAGAGAGAAGAGGGCAGAGAAGTGGAGAGAATGATGGAAGAGAGCAGAGAAAACCACTAAAATTAGAGTCCTGAGGGCGAGGCACAAGGGCATAGAAAGATGGAGATGTGGGGATGAATTGCAGAGATTCCAAAGAGAACTAGAGAGACCGAGAGGCAGAGCAAGACAGATGATAGATGGATAGATACAGATAGATGATGGATAGATATAGATAGATGATATATAGGTAGATGATAGATAATAGGTTATAGATACATAGATGATGATTGATTGATTCATTAATAGATGATACATAGAGATGATGATGATGAAGATAGATGGATAGATAATACATAGAGATAGAGAGGAAGACAAAGAGAGAAATAATAGAGAGAGAGAGATGATACATATATATAGATAATAGATGATTGACGGATAGACAATTGATAGATAAATAGATGATATATAGATATAGATGACAGGTAGAGAATTTGTAGATAGGCACCGAATAGATAAATAGATGGATTGATAGATAATAGATAGAAATATGCAGAAAGTTATGAACGGGACACAAACTGAGAAACTCAGAGTTAAAAAAAGTAACATCAAGTCAACCAATCCAAGGAGAGCCAGAGAGAATAAAACAATCCAAAAAAGGAAAACATAACTAGAGGTAGGGAAGTGAGGTCAGAGACCTACAGAGACAGAGAAGGTGGAAGGAGGAAATAGACATGAAGAGAGATAGGGTGGAGGGTGAGACAGAGAAAGAGAGCATTAGGCCATAGAGCAGGGGAGTGAGTTCTCAGGTCAGGTGTGAGGGGAGCTGTGACAAGGAAGATCCCCCCTGAGGAAACTGCCCCTTCTCCTTCCAGGTCTATATGAGAAACCTTCTCTCTCAGCCCAGCCGGGCCCCACGGTTCAGGCAGGAGAGAATGTGACCTTGTCCTGCAGCTCCCGGAGCTCCTATGACATGTACCATCTATCCAGGGAAGGGGAGGCCCATGAACGTAGGCTCCCTGCAGTGCGCAGCATCAACGGAACATTCCAGGCCGACTTTCCTCTGGGCCCTGCCACCCACGGAGGGACCTACAGATGCTTCGGCTCTTTCCGTGACGCTCCCTACGAGTGGTCAAACTCGAGTGATCCACTGCTTGTTTCCGTCACAGGTGAGGAAACCCCATATCTGTCCCATGTCCTATGATCCTAGAGCCTTAGCTGAGGAGCTTCCTGCTGATGATGGAGAGAAGCATGGACAGATGCAGAGAGAAGACGCAGCATGCCTGTGAGGGAGGGATCAGGGCGCAGGATGGCACACACAGCACCTCCAAACCCTCCTGCATGGCCTGCATGGAGGCCTCCGATTAGGGCTCCAGAAACCCAGGCAGATGTAGAAAGCGGTCAGGAGAGACCCAGAGAAGGGGAGACTGGGCTCAGTTTGGGGAGATCAGAGGTTCCCTCAGCCCCTCAACCTTACCCATTTCCCAGAAGCCCTTCCTGGCCTCTCACCCACACAGAGATGTCATCACCAGCAACCCCTACATCCTTTTCTTTTTGTTTGAAAAAATATTCATTGAGGTTAAATATACCTATATAGCTTACCACTTTTAACATTTTTTTTTTTTTGAGGTGGAGTCTAGCTCTGTCTCCTATGCTGGAATGCAGTGGCACAATCTCAGCTCACTGTAACCTCCGCCTCCTGGGTTCAAGCGATTCTCCTGCCTCAGCCACCTGAGTAGCTGGTACTACAGGCGCCCATCACCACGCCGGGCTACTTTTTGTATATTTAGTAGAGAGGGGGTTTCACCATGTTGGTCGAGCTGCTCTGGAACTCCTGACCACGTGATCCACCCGCCTCAGGCTCCCAAAGTGCTGGGATTACAGGCATGAGCCACCGCGCCCGGCCACGTTTACCAATTTTAAGTGTAAGGTCTAGTGGTCATAAATACATACATATAAATTTTTTGTTTGTTTGTTTTATCCTCCACCCTTTTCTTCCTGGCCTCTGGTAGCCACCATTCTACTCTCTATCTTCATGAGATCCACCTTTTAGCTCCTGTATATGGGTGAGAAATGAGAATATTTGTAATGACTTCCAGTTCCATCCATGTGGCTGCAAATATCAGGATGTTATTCTTTCTATGGATGAGTAGTCTCCGCTGTGCGTATGTACTACATTCTCTCTATCCATTCATCCACTGATGGGCAGGTAGGTTGACTCCACATCTTGGCTACTGTGAAGAGTGCTGCACCAATCATACGAGTGCAGATATCACTTCGATACATTGATTTACTTTCCTTTGGATATAAACCCAGTAGTGAAATTGCTGGATACTATGAAAGTTCTCTTTTTAGTTTTTCGTTTGTTGTTTTGTTTTTGTTTTTGAGACAGTTTCCCTCTGTGCCCAGGCTGGAGTACAAGTGATGTGATCTTGGCTCATTGCAACCTCCGCCTCCTGGGTTCAAATGATTTTCCTGCCTCAGCCTCCCTAGTAGCTGGGATTACAGGTGCACGCCACCATGCCGGGATACTTTTTGGTTTTTTTTAGTGTACATGGGGTTTCCCCAGGTTGGCTAGGCTGCTCTCAAACTCATGACCTCAACTGAGGTGCCCGCCTCGGTCTCCCAAAGTGCCGGGATTACAGGCATGATCCACTTCATCCAACCTCTTTTTAGTTCTTTAAAGGACTTCCATACTTTTCTCCGTAATGGCTGTACTAATTTACACTCCTACCAACAGGGTACCAGGGTTCTCCTTTCTCTACCACCTTGCCAGCATTTGTTTTGCCTGTCTTGCAGCTAAAAGCCATTTTATTTTATTTCATTTTATTTTGAGATGGAGTTTCGCTCTTGTCACCCAGGCTGGAGTGCAGTGGTGCGATCTCGGCTCACCGCAACCTCCACCTCCCAGGTTCAAGCGATTCTCCTGCCTCAGCCTCCCGAGTAGCTGGAATTACAGGCACACACCACCACGCCCGACTAATTTTTGTATTTTTAGTAGAGACAGCGTTTCTCCATGTGGGTCAGACTGGTCTCAAACTCCCGACCTTATGAGATTCGCCCACCTCGGGCTCTCAGAGTTCTAGGATGACAGACGTGAGCCACCTCGCCCGGCCTAAAAGCCATTTTAATGGGGTGAGATGAAAACTCACTTTGATTTTAATTCGCGTTTCTCTGATGATGAGTGATACTGAGCACTTTTTCGTATGTGGGGAAATTTCATGTCTTTTGCTCCTTTTTCAATTAAATCATTTGTTTTATTGAGTTGTTTGAGCTTCTTATACTTCTAGTTATTAATCCCGTCTCAGATGCATAGTTTGCACATATTTGCTCCCAATCTGTGGGTTGTCTCTTCACTTTGTTGGTTTATTTTTAGCGGTGCAGAAGTTGCTTAGTTTGAGGTAATCCCAATGGTCTATTTTTGCTTCGATTACTTGTGTTTTGAAGGTTTAAAACAAAATGTCTTCCTTCAGACAAATGTACTGGAGCATTTCCCCAATATTTTCTTCTACGTGTTTCACAGGTTCAGGCCTTAGACTCACATCTTTAATCCACTTTCATTTGATTTTTGTGTATGGTGACAGGTAGAGGTGCAGTTTCATTCCTCTGCATGTAGATGTCCAGGTTTCCCTGCACTGTTTATTGAAAAAACTGTCCTTTCCTGATTGTGAGTTCTTGGCACCTTTGTCAAAGTCCATTGGATGGGCTGGGCATGGTGGCTAACACCAGCAACTTCAGCACTTTGGGAGGCCAAGGCTGGTGGATCACCTGAGGACAGGAGTACAAGATTACTCTGGCCGACGTGATGAAACATCGTCTCCACTAAAAATATAAAAATTAGCTGAGCATGGTGGTCAGCACCTGTAATACTACTACTCAGGAGTTTGAGGCAAGAGAATTGATTGAACCCAGGAGGCTGAGGTTGCAGTGAACCGAGATTGCACCTCTGCACTCCAGCCTGGGTGACAGAGCAAGACTCCATCTCAAAAGAAAAAATAAAAAAAATTGGATGTAAATGCATGGATTATATCTGTGTTCTTCATTCTGCTCCGTTGTTCTATGTGCCTTTCTTCATGCCAACATCATGCTGTTTTGCTTACTACAGCTCTGTAACATATTTTGAGATCAGGTAGTGTGATGCTCCTGTTTTCTCTTTATACCTTGAAGTCTCAAGACAGTGGGCGTCACATACAAAAATTATGGAAGAAAGGATCCCTGGACTCCCAGGGCCCAATGTTAGATAACAGAGTGTTGGCCATGAACCAAACTCAAAGATTTCCACTGAGTAGAGGACAGACACCCTCATTTCCTCACCTCTCTCCTGTCTCATGTTCTAGGAAACCCTTCAAATAGTTGGCCTTCACCCACTGAACCAAGCTCCAAAACCGGTGAGTACAGGACCCTCTTATATCCGCTTTTGGAACCCTGGGGAGGTGGAAACCTTGGATTCAGGCGTTGACTCAGCATCTCACAGCTCTGACATTGTACGCCTGTCTTCTACCATCTCCGAACTCCAGATACTCCAACAGCGAAAGGGATCTGGGCCCAACACAGGGCTCAGTGAAATCTCTTCATCTCTCATTTTATGGAGCTGAGACCTCCTACAAGCTAGAAGAATGATTGCCAATCTGACATCCTTCTCAGGAAAAACGCAATGTTTGTTCTGCTTGCATTCCTAACTGGAGGATAAATTCCTGGGGGCTTGAGAGAGGGAAGGGAAGCGAACATCTGATGAGGGCGAGGTGTTTTAGAGAAGTTCCACTTGCCAAGGAATGAGCTCCTGTTGGTCATGAAACAACCCTGGCTGACTCAGCAGAGCAAGAGCCTTGCCGTAACAGAGAACAGAGCTCATGCACGCACACTTTGACTCACTGACTTATTCAGCCACGGCCCCATGCTCAGGTTGTGCAGTGTGGAAGCTTTTCCTATTGTTGCCATAACAAATTTCCACAAGATTCGTGGGTGAAAACAAAACGGTTATTTAATTATCTTACAGTGCTCTAGCTCAAAGCATGAAGTGCATCTCACTGGGCTAAAATCAAGATGACAGCAAGCCTGCCTTCCCTCTGAGGATTCCAGGCAAGAATCTGCTTCTCACTTGTCCCATCTTATAAAGGCTCCCAGTTCCTTGGCTGCTGGTCCCTTTCCTCCTTCCTCAAAACCCACAAAGACTGGTCACATCTCACATGGCATCACTCAGACCCTTCTTCCTTACCACACCTCTTTCTCTGAATGCTGCTCTCCCTTCTTCCTCATCTTTTGAAAACTTGGGGATTCTATTGGGTTCACCAAGATGAAAATCCGTCATAATCTCCCGGAAATCATTCAGGATACCCTTGTTTTAAGTTCAGCTGATTAGCAACCATAATTCCATCTGCAATCTTCATTCCTCCTTTCCATGTAAAATAACATATTCACAAGCTATGGAGGCTAGGACAGGGACATTTTGGGGTGGGACAGCATTCTCCTGCCTTCCACAAATGGTGAACAAGATGCATTTGGCCTCTGCTCTTGGGACACTGATATTGCAGATGGTTAAATGGGAGGACAGAAAATGAATGCACAAGTGGACCAATAAATGAATGATCCATTGGGAAGCATCTGTGCATGAAATCTATTTGTTTGTTTGTTCGTTTGTTTATTGAGACAGAGTCTCCCTCTGTCTTCCAGGCTACAGTGCAGTGTCACGATCTTGGCTCACTGCAACCTGCGTCTCCTGGATCCAAGTGATTCTCCTGCCTCACCCTCTCGAGTAGCTGGGATTACAGGCAACTGCCACCATGCCCGGCTAATTCTTTTTGTATATTTTTTGTAGAGAGGATGTTTCACCATGTTGGCCAAGCTTGTCTGAAACTCCCAACCTCAAGTGATCCGACCATCTCAGCAACCCAAAGTACTGGGATTACAGGCGTGAGCCACTTTGCCCAGCCAGAATTCAAAATAAATAATAGATAATGCTGAGTGTATAATTTTGGGTGACAGAGAAGGTCTCACTAATCAGATATTTGTGACATTAATGAAAAACACGGATTGAACCCCTGAAAGATTGGCGGAAGGATTTTCCACACACAGCTGTCAGCTGTGAAGGCACAAAGGTGAAAACAATCTGATGTTGAAGGAAGAGGCTCTGCCTGAAATGCTGGGAATGAGGTGGGGAGAATGACAAGATGACTGTAGAGAGATGGAGAGCACTCTGGGTACACAGGAAACTAAGGAGGAACAAGGAGTGTGTGTTTGACACTCACAGCCATTGGATTCACCTCGGGGTAACCAGGAATCCCTACATGATTAATAGTGACTGACAAGAAAATAAGGGAGGCCCAGGTGCGTAACTGGAATCTAGGAGACTGTGGAAAAGGCAATTGCCGCCCCACTGGTGAAATGTGGTGCTGATTTAGACACTAAATGAATGAAGTAGATGGATATAAGATATGCTTGTGAGGTAGAATCATTGGCTGGAAAGGCTTGCTGGGTTTGATTTTCCTACTTGTTTAATCCTCGCTTAATTAATTTCTTTCTGAGATTTATTCATCCTACACATAAATCAATACCTGGCAAAGGAGTGACAGATATATGAGGGGTGGTGGAAATGAAGGGACCTATTATAGCATAATATACAAGTCTGTGAACGGTGGCTCATGCTTGTAACCCAGCCCTGCAGGAGGCCAAGGCGGGTGGATTCCATGAAGTCAGGAGTTCCAGACCAGCCTGGCCAACATGGTGAAACCCTATCTGTACTAAAAATACAAAAATTAGCCGAGCATGGTGGTGCATCCCTGTAATCCCAGCTCCTACTCTGGAGGATGAAGCAGGAGAATGACTTCAACCCAGGAGGTGGAGGTTGCAGTGAGTGGAGATTGCATCACTGCACTCCAGCCTGGGTGACACAAGGAGACTCCGTCTCAAAAAATAAAAATAAGAAATGCATAAATATAATAAAACACACACGAATGACAAAGGCACCTGAATTCCAATCATCATTTTTCTATTTCTCTATAATTACTTCTTTGATCCTTTATCTTATCCATTAGGCAATCAGCCTAAAACCTCTTCCCTATTTGGCTTTCTGTGAGCATGAGATCACATAGAAAATGTGAAAGCCCGCTGAATCCTCCAGCACGGATCCTGGAATAGAGAAAGTGCTCTGGTCATCGCAAAAAAAAACTTGCCCACTCACCCAAATCGCCCACCTCACCCCTACTTCCAATCACCTGTGGAGATTCAGATAGACCATGGGGAGGAAACATTAATATTCCTTGGAGTGAGTCCAGATCTTGGAATCAGAGATCAGCGACAGCACTAGCTCCTGTTCCCCTTTCCTACTAATTCACAGGAGGACAGGTGGTATTGAAGCAATAGATGGTGGAGGGGGTGGTCCTTCCCCCAGCCTCTCGGGTAGAACAGCAGCCTAACATGTGTCTCCCGAGATCACAAAGAGCAGCACATTTCACACGGGCTTCAACACTATTTTCTGGCTGTTTGACATAAGAGAATCTTGCTTCGCTATTTTTAATCGTGATTTCACCTTTGTTTCCTTTCCTTGGTGAATGCAATTTGTTTGACTCAAGAATGCTGTGGATGTAGAAATCCTAAAGCACATTCGCTGTGTATCAATCCCAGTGCAGTCTTCCCAGAGAAGACTCTAAACAAATCCTGGACTGCACCTGGGCCTATGCCAATTCCTATCACTCACCGTCACTCCAGGGAGACAGAACACACAGAGGATACGTTACATAGGCAGGTTCATTACTAACAGATAAGCAGCGAGTGACAACAGAAGCCTGCATTTCAATGTGAGCCAGTCCCTCAAGGCTCAGAAAAGCTGCTCGGGACATATGGAGTCACCCCATTTGCAGTGTAACTGGGGGAAGCCAGAAAGCAGCCCAGCCTGGGTTTTGTACCCTGGAGCCACAGGAAGCACTCAGCTAAAGCACTGCATGACGTCCTCCTCCAGGAAGAACAGGAAGACAGCCCAGGCTGTTCTGAGACATTCCTCCTGATCTCAGGATGTTGCTATCTTAGTCCATTTTTGTTGCTCTAAAGGAACACTTGAGCCTGGGTAACTTCTAAAGAAAAGAGATTGGTTTGCCTCACAGTTCTGCAGGCTGTACTGGAAGCATGGCACCAGAATCTATTTCTCTTGACGGCCTCAGGCTGCTCCCACTCTGGCAGAAGGGAAGGAGGGTCTGTCTGTGCAGAGACCGCAGAGATCACACGGCAAGAGAGAGAGTAAGGGGGAGAGGGAGCGATGGAGCTTCCAAGCTCTTTTTAACAACCAGCTCTCCAGGAACTAACAGAGGGGGAACTTGCTAACCCCGTCTCCTTGGGACAGCATTGATCTGTTCATGATGGATCCACCTCCATGACCCAAACACCTCTGAAGAGGCCCAACCTCCCACAATGGGGGTGAAATTTCAATGTGAGGTTTGAAAGGGTCAAACATCTCAACTAAAGTAGTTGTATCCTCAGCACGTTCTATGGTTACTATGAGAGCTATAATTGAGAAAGCAGGGGAAAGCTAGGTCTCCCGCCATTTGGGTGCTTGTCCTAAAGAGACGTTGTATGTGGTTACCTGCCAATCAAGAAATGCGAGACAATTCATAAAGAGGAACTGCTATGATTAGCTTCTTATTGGTGTCTCCTCTTCTTCCAGGTAACCCCAGACACCTACATGTTCTGATTGGGACCTCAGTGGTCAAAATCCCTTTCACCATCCTCCTCTTCTTTCTCCTTCATCGCTGGTGCTCCGACAAAAAAAGTAAGTCTCACGAAGCAGAGGCCAGAGAGCTCAGGGCCATGTGGGGAAGCAGGATGGGAGCACGCGGATGTGTGTTCCTCACCAGCAGGATGGTCCCTGGCCCAAGACAGGAGCCACAGAGGCAGGACTTTCTAGAGAGAGCACCAGATTCCCTTCCCCTGCCTTCAGCTCACAGACCATTGCCTGATTCTGAACTGTATCCTCACGTCCCCTGCAGCCACTCACATCCAGGAGAAGGTTCCATGACAGGCAGAAAGTGGGAGATAGAATCAATGGGATGGGAACTCAGAGCTATTCATGGGATGGGTCCTTGAACTCAGAGAGATAGAATGTCTGAGTCTGCTGTTGGCAACTGAGGGACCTCAGGCACCTATGGCCTCCCCCTGTTTGTTGGTATCTGCTTATGAAATGAGGACCCAGAAGTGCCCTCCGAGCTCTTTTGTTGACTTCCGTCTTCTACAGATGCTGCTGTAATGGACCAAGAGCCTGCAGGGAACAGAACAGTGAACAGCGAGGTAGGTGCTCCTCGGCCCAGCCTCGTGGCTAGTCTTATTCCCAAAGAGTCCTGAAAAATGTGAGCACCCTCCCTCACTCAGCATTTCCCTCTCTCCAGGATTCTGATGAACAAGACCATCAGGAGGTGTCATACGCATAATTGGATCACTGTGTTTTCACACAGAGAAAAATCACTCGCCCTTCTGAGAGGCCCAAGACACCCCCAACAGATACCAGCATGTACATAGAACTTCCAAATGCTGAGCCCAGATCCAAAGTTGTCTTCTGTCCACGAGCACCACAGTCAGGCCTTGAGGGGATCTTCTAGGGAGACAACAGCCCTGTCTCAAAACCGGGTTGCCAGCTCCCATGTACCAGCAGCTGGAATCTGAAGGCATCAGTCTTCATCTTAGGGCATCGCTCTTCCTCACACCACGAATCTGAACATGCCTCTCTCTTGCTTACAAATGTCTAAGGTCCCCACTGCCTGCTGGAGAGAAAACACACTCCTTTGCTTAGCCCACAATTCTCCATTTCACTTGACCCCTGCCCACCTCTCCAACCTAACTGGCTTACTTCCTAGTCTACCTGAGGCTGCAATCACACTGAGGAACTCACAATTCCAAACATACAAGAGGCTGCCTCTTAACACAGCACTTAGACACGTGCTGTTCCACCTCCCTTCAGACTATCTTTCAGCCTTCTGCCAGCAGTAAAACTTATAAATTTTTTAAATAATTTCAATGTAGTTTTCCCGCCTTCAAATAAACATGTCTGCCCTCATGGTTTCGGTAACGAGACTCTTTTCTTGCCTAAGGCTTCCGGTGTTATCATTACCATGTCCACATAACCCCATCTGTTCTCCATTGGGTTCTCAGCCCTGGACTCTGAGCTTCTGGAAGCAGAATGTAGCCTGATTTGTCTCTGAGACTCCAATTTCCATCCAAAGATACAGCACATAGGAGGCTCCAAGGATCGTGAATCACATGAACAAGTGATATTCTTACTCTCTGCAGACCTGGAAAGCTGGCAGAGTCATTCCACGATGAAACATTTGTAGAGACATAGGCCTTGTTAGTCTCATCTCCACGGGGACACATATCAACATATCATCTTTCATAATATAAATATACAGTCGGTCCTCCATATCTGTGGGGTTTACAGGTGTTTATTGAACCAACAATAAATCAAAAATATTTTCAGAAAAAAATCCCCGAAGTTTCAAGAAGCAAAAAACTATGTTGAATCGACACAAATTGAGTGGCGTGTAGGCTGTGTCAGGAATTATAAGTAATCAAGAGATGATTTCATGTATACAGGAGGATGTGCATGGGTTCTATGCAATTGCTATGCTATTTTTTTTTTTTTTTGAGACAGTCTCACTCTCTCACCCAGGCTGGAGTGCAGTGGCATGATCTCAGCTCACTGCAACCTCTGCCTCCCAGGTTCAAGCGATTGTCTTCCCTCAGCCTCCCCAGTAGCCTCCCCTAGGATTACAGGCACGTGCCACCATGCACAGATAAATTTTTTTGTGTGTGTATTTTTAGTAGAGACGGGGTTTCAGAATGTTGGACCAGCTGGTCTTGAACTCCTGACCTCGTGATCTACCCAACTCAGCCTCCCAAAGTGCTGGGATTACAGGCGTGAGCCACGGTGCCCAGCTTCGCTATGCCATTTCATGCAAGGGGCTTGAGCATCTGCAGATTTTGGTATCTGAATGGGGATCCTGGAACCAATCACCCAGGAATAGTGAAGGACCACAGTATATAATTTTTATTTGTCAATCTTAAAAATAAAGCATAAAAAGTTTACAACAACAAGATAAAAAATAAGAAGTGTTTTTATAGTGTGAGGATAAGTTTAGATTTATTTTTTCCTACGTGTAACCCTATGGTCCTGTGTTATTTATTGAGAAAATATTCTATTCCACCTTAAACTACATGGCAGCCTTTGTCAACTATAAAGGGACTGTGTATCCACAGATGTATTTTAGACACAGTTTTCTGCCCAGTGGTTCTCTGTATCCCCTCTCATGAGGATGCTGCATTTCATATAAACTTATAGAACCCCTTAAAATTTGGTAACCTGAGTTCTCTGATTTGTTATTATAGGTTATTTAGTTTGCTTTTTTTTTTCTTTCTTGAGACAGACTCTTCCTCTGTCACCCAAGCTGGAGTTCAGTGGCTTGAGCTCAGCTCACTGCAGCCTCCGCCTCCCAGGTTCAAGCAATTCTCGTGCCTCAGGTTTAGTACTAGAAACTCATCAGGAAAATTAGAATGGCTTTTTGTCACAATTACTCTGATAATGTTAATAATACCTCTTAGATATTTTGCACATTACACATGAAGAAAAGTTTGAATCTCAGATAAAAACAAAAATACATCAAAAGTCTTTAATGTAAGCACAGAATTCAATCACCTCATGTGTGAGAGGTTGGATCTGAGACGTCTTTTGAGTCTGGTCATAGTGAAGGATGCAAGGTGGCAATTGTAGTCACAACAATTTCCAGGAAGCCATGTTCCGCTCTTGAGCGAGCACCCACTGGGCCTCATGCAAGGTAGAAAGAGCCTGCGTACGTCACCCTCCCATGATGTGGTCAACATGTAAACTGCATGGGCAGGGCGCCAAATAACATCCTGTGCGCTGCTGAGCTGAGCTGGGGCGCGGCCTCCTGTCTGCACCGGCAGCACCATGTCGCTCACTGTCGTCAGCATGGCGTGCGTTGGTGAGTCCTGGAAGGGAATAGAGGGAGGGAGAGTGGGGATGGAGATCTCGGCCTAGAGGTAAAGATATGGGCCTGGAGTGGAGATATGGGCCTGGAGTGGAGATATGGGCCTGGGTGTGGAGATATGGGCCTGGAGGTGTAAATATGGGCCTGGAGTGCAGATATGGGCCTGGAGGGGAGATATGGGCCTGGGTGTGGAGATATGGGCCTGGAGTGGAGATACGGGCCTGGAGTGGAGATATGGGCCTGGAGTGGAGATATGGGCCTGCAGGTGGAGATCTGGGCCTGGAGTGGAGATATGGGTCTGATGTGGAGATATGGGCCTGGAGTGGAGATATGGGCCTGGAGTGGAGATATGGGCCTAGAGGGGAGATCTGGGCCTGGAGTGGAGATATGGGTCTGATGTGGAGATATGGGCCTGGAGTGGAGATAGGGGCCTGGAGTGGAGATAGGGGCCTGGAGTGGAGATATGGGCCTGGAGTGGAGATCTGGGCCAGGAAGTGTTGATCTGGGCCTGGAGCCTGGGTCTCTCCACAGCTGAGAGCCCTGTTCTTGGCAGCAGGTAGCAGGGAGGCTAAGTTTACCTTCAGCCCAGCAAGGGCCTGGCTGCCAAGACACACAGTGCAGTGGGGGCAGCAGGGTGCCCTGGTTTGCCTGCAGTTGGATCGTCTATCATGATCTTTCTTTCCAGGGTTCTTCTTGCTGCAGGGGGCCTGGCCACTCATGGGTGAGTCCTTCCCCAAACCTTAGGGTGTCATCTCCCCACATAAGAGGATTTTTCTGAAACAGGAGGGAAGTCCTGTCGGGGAGTCTCTCATAAACTAGGAAGAGGGGACCCTTGGATACTCGGCCCACATTTCTGACCTCGCCCTCCCCGGCCTTTCTTTCCCTTTCCTGAGTCAAGCTCTGTGAAGACTGGGGTGAGACTGGGGTGCTCCAAGCTGGGGTGTGCAGGGAGGAAGTGGTGTCAGCAGCAGAGAAAGAGAGGGAAGCAGTGCTAGGAACAGCAGGTCCTCTGAGGACAAAGGTATAACTGACACCCTCCAGCGTTTCCGTGACGGTAGGGGCTGCAGTGTGGCTGCGGTCTTTCTACCAGAAGAGGGGGGAAACCACAGCCATGGCCCTGACATTCCAAATCCTCTGAGGGGGCTCAGTTCATGAATTGGCTGATATTCCATTCACATAGGACATGCCCTCCATGCCGTGTCTACTTTGTGTTGTTTTATGTGAGTAATTTTGCAGTATTAAAATCTAGTAAGAGTCACTTATTCAGCACTTGCTCAAAGTTCTCAGCTGACACTTGTTGTAGGGAGACGCCATGTCTATGTGGGGTGGGTCCTTCCTGTAGCCCTGGGCACCCAGGTGTGGTAGGAGCCTTAGAAAGCGGAAATGGGAGAATCTTCTGAGCACAGGGAGGGAGGGGTGGCTCCACATCCTCCTCTCTAAGGCAGTGCCTCCTTCTCCCCCAGGTGGTCAGGACAAACCCTTCCTGTCTGCCCGGCCCAGCACTGTGGTGCCTCGAGGAGGACACGTGGCTCTTCAGTGTCACTATCGTCGTGGGTTTAACAATTTCATGCTGTACAAAGAAGACAGAAGCCACGTTCCCATCTTCCACGGCAGAATATTCCAGGAGAGCTTCATCATGGGCCCTGTGACCCCAGCACATGCAGGGACCTACAGATGTCGGGGTTCACGCCCACACTCCCTCACTGGGTGGTCGGCACCCAGCAACCCCCTGGTGATCATGGTCACAGGTCAGAGGCTTTCTGTCTGGGCTTCTCACTGTCCCACCTCCTGAATCCCAGAGCTTCTGGTGGGGGTGTCCATCAGGGTCCCATCACCCAGGCCCCAACTGTATTTGGGGTCAAGGGAGATTGAATACAGGGGAAATGGGCGCTGTGGTGGGAAGAATAACTGTCGCCAATGATGGCTACATTGTAAACCCTGGAGCCTGTGACTATTTATGTTATAGGGCAGGGGACTGAAGGGGAAGGTGGAGCTCAGGTTGTTGATGAGTTGACCTTGAGATGGGGAGACAGCCTGGACTGTCCTGCTGGGCTCAGTGTAATCACAAGGGTCCGCGTGAGAGGTGGAGGAAGAGGGGAGTGGGGATTAGAGCAGTGTAGTGGGAGGGAGACGCTATCAGCCACTGTGGGCTTTGAAGGTGGAGGAAGGCCACTAGTCACAGAATGCAGGTGGCCTCTAAGGGCTGGAGAAGTCAAGAGAACTGATTCGCTGAGTCTCCAGAGGGAACGCAGCCCTGCAGATGCCTTGATTTCAGCACAGGGAGAACTGGATCCAATTTCTGTCCCCAGAAGTGGAAGGGGTCAGTGTGTTCTCTCCTGCTGCCATGTTTGTGATAATTTTCTGCAGCAGCAACAGGAAACCGACACAGGAACCCAGGTCAAGGACAAGCTAGGAAACCAAACAAGGATAGCCAGGTGTGGTGGTGGGCACGAGTAATCCAACGACTGGGGAGGCTGAGGCAAGAGAATCACTTGAACCGGGGAGGCAGAGGTTGCAGTGAGCCAAGACAACACCACTGCACTCCAGCCTGGGTGAAAAAGTGACTGTCTCAAAAATAAATTAATTAATCAATTAATTAAAGAAACCAAACAAGGAGAAGGTTGGCTACCGTGGGATCAGCAAGGGTGGGATGCTGATGCCACCACCAGGCTCCATCCACATAGGAAGGGGTTGATGCTCCTGGAACCAGCACCAGGGACCACCCTATGGAAGCTGGGGCCATGGAGAAGGCACAGACATGGCAGGAGAGGCTCCCAATCCCCATCAGGAACAGGGTGTGTGGACACTGATGTCTGCCTTACTGATGAGTTGATACCTCTGCCAGAGACTCCAATTTGTTCAAAAGAGATTGATTCAGGCTGCTGAGAGCCTGGACATGCAGCCTGTCCTCTTCCACCCTCACATAGACAGCAGGAAAGAGACTAGTGGGAAAGAGATACAACAGCCCAAGAGATGAGGCTCTCTTCACAGTGGGAAGGGAGTCAGGGGCTACTGGAGACAGAGGGACAGAGAAGAGGGAGGAAGACAAATGGAGGGACCTGCACCAGGGGATATGGGCACAGAAAAGACACGGAGACACAGAGAGGGAGGAGAGAGACAGACCTCTGGGAGGGGAACCCTCACTCATTCCAGGTGCCATGGATGGGATGATAAAGAGAGATGCCTTCTAAACTCACAACTTCTCTTTCTAGGAAACCACAGAAAACCTTCCCTCCTGGCCCACCCAGGGCCCCTGCTGAAATCAGGAGAGACAGTCATCCTGCAATGTTGGTCAGATGTCATGTTTGAGCACTTCTTTCTGCACAGAGATGGGATCTCTGAGGACCCCTCACGCCTCGTTGGACAGATCCATGATGGGGTCTCCAAGGCCAACTTCTCCATCGGTCCCTTGATGCCTGTCCTTGCAGGAACCTACAGATGTTATGGTTCTGTTCCTCACTCCCCCTATCAGTTGTCAGCTCCCAGTGACCCCCTGGACATCGTGATCACAGGTGAGAGTGTCCAGACATTCTTCTCATTGTCATTGGGACACAGAGTGAATGATCCAGGACTTGGAACCCCCAGGTGGTCATGAGGAAGATAAGCGTGGGATTCTTATGGAGAGAGACTGACTCGGTGAGGTCTGTACCAACAGAGACAGGGAAACAGGAGACATAAGTACAGACCAGGTGTCATAACAGAGGACAGACACAGGGGCCATACGGGGAAGTAGAAAAGAGAGAAAGAGGTAAAGGAGACACTCAGACAGACAGACATGTGCCAGAGAGAAGTGTCCTTCCATGCTGACTTTGCTCAGAGACCTGGCACAGGTTAGAAGTTTCATTTCTGTTTTGTCTCCACAAAGTGCTTCTACGAGGAGAACCCAAGGACACCCATATTTCTGACCTGAGTTGGGCCCTGTGGCCTCAGGCCTTGTGGCATCTACAGATGCCATGTTTATTCTGACACCTCTGCCTTCCATGCAGTGGAGCCATAATTATCCCAGGATATCATGGCCCCAGAACACCAACCCCTAAATACTGTGTGTACTTGGTGTCCCCAGACTAGATTCTGAGGCTCATATTCCAAATAATCCTACATATAATAGGATCACTGAGAGACACAGAGATAAATCAGGGACTTCAAAAAGCAAAGGCATAAACACACAGAGAATGAGCCAGAGGAAGGGGATTGAGAGACTCACAGACACACAAAAAGAAAGAAAAGAGGGCAGAGGAGTGGAGAGAATGCTGGAAGGGAGGAGAGAAAAGCCCCAAAATCAGAACCCTGAGGGAGGGGCACAAAGACAGAGAAAGATAAAGATGTGGGGATGGATTGCAGAGATTCCAAATAGAACTAGAGAGACTGAGAGGCAGAGAAAGACAAGGAGATGGAGAGAGACAGATGATAGATGGATAGATAGATATAGATAGATGATAAATAGGTAGATGATAGATAATGGATAGGTTATAGATACATAGATGATGATTGATAGATGATACATAGAGATGATGATGATGATGATGATGAAGATAGATAGATAGAAGACACATATATAAATATATAGATACATAGATGATACATAGAGACTGACAGGCAGACAGAGAGGTAATAGAGAGAGAGAGAGATGATACATAGATACAGATAATACATAGATGATTGATGGATAGACAGATAGACAATTGATAGATAAATGATACATAGATATAGATGACAGATAATTTGTAGATAGACACAAAATAGATAGATAGATAATAGATAGAAATATGCAGAAAGTTATGAACAAGACAGAAAGTGAGAGACTCAGAATTATAGAAAAAGGAAGATCAAGTCAACCAATCCAAGGAGAGTCAGAGAGAATAAAACAATCCAAAAAGGGAAAGCATACCCAGGGGTGGGGAAGTGAGGTCAGAGACCTAGAGAGACAGAGAAGGCGGAAGGAGGAAATAGACATGAAGAGAGTTGGGGTGGAGGGTGAGAGAGAGAGAGAGCATTAGGTCATAGAGCAGGGGAGTGAGTTCTCAGCTCAGGTATGAGGGGAGCTGTGACAAGGAAGAACCTCCCTGAGGAAACTGCCTCTTCTCCTTCCAGGTCTATATGAGAAACCTTCTCTCTCAGCCCAGCCGGGCCCCACGGTTCAGGCAGGAGAGAACGTGACCTTGTCCTGTAGCTCCTGGAGCTCCTATGACATCTACCATCTGTCCAGGGAAGGGGAGGCCCATGAACGTAGGCTCCGTGCAGTGCCCAAGGTCAACAGAACATTCCAGGCAGACTTTCCTCTGGGCCCTGCCACCCACGGAGGGACCTACAGATGCTTCGGCTCTTTCCGTGCCCTGCCCTGCGTGTGGTCAAACTCAAGTGACCCACTGCTTGTTTCTGTCACAGGTGAGGAAAACCCGTGTCTGTCCCATGTCTTATGATCCTAGAGCCATAGCTGAGGAGCTTCCTGCCGATGATGGGGAGAAGCATGGACAGATGCAGAGAGAACACGAAGACTGGGTGTGAGGGGGGGGTCAGGGTGCAGGATGGCAGACAGGGCACCTCCAAACCCTCTTGCATGGCCTGCATGGAGGCCCATGGTCAGGGCTCCAGGCACCCAGGCAGATGGAGAAAGCGGTCAGGACAGACCCAGAGAAGGGGAGACTGGGCTCAGTTTGGGGAGATCAGAGGTTCCCTCAGCCCCTCAACCTTACCCATTTCCCAGAAGCCCATCCTGGCCTCTCACCCACACAGAGAGATGTCATCACCAGCAACCCCTACACTCTTTTCTTTTCATTTTCAAAAATATTTATTGAGGTTAAATGTAACTATATAATTTACCAACTTTACCATTTTTAAAAGTAAAATCTAGTGGTCATAAATACCTTTATATGCTGGGTGTGGTGGTTCACGGTTGTAATCTTGGCGCTTTGAGAGGCCAAGAAAGGTGGATCATTTAAGATCAGGGACTCGAGATCAGCCTGGCCAACATGCGGGAAATTCATCTTTACTAAACAGACAAGAAAAATTAGCCAAGCATGCCGGCATGCACCTGTAGTCCTAGCTACTTGGGAGGCTGAGGCAGGAGAAGCACTTAAAGCCAGGAGGCAGAGGTTGCACTGAGCCGAGATCATGCCACTGCACTGCAGCCTGGGAGACAGAGAGAGACTCTGTTTCTAAATAAATAAATACATCTATATTCTTTTTTTTGTTACCCTCCACCCTTCCCTTCCTGGCCTCTGGTATCCACCATTCTATTCTCTACCTTCATGAGATCCACCTTTTATCTCCTGCATGTGGTGAGAAATGGGAATCTTTGTAATGACCTCGAGTTCCATCCATGTGGCTGCAAATGACAGGATGTTATTGTTTCTATGGATGAGTAGTCTCCACCGTGTGTGTGTACTACAGTTCTCTATCCATTCACCCACTGATAGGCAGGTAGGTTGACTCCACATCTTGGCTACTGTGAACAGTGCTGGAACAGTCATATGAGTGCAGATATCACTTCGATACACTGATGTCCTTTCCTTTGGATATAAACCCAGTAGTGAAATTGCTGGACACTATGAAAGTTCTCTTTTTTTTTTTTTCTTTTTTGAGAAAGAGTTTCCCTCCTTAGTCCAAGCTGGAGTCAAAGTGGTGCGATCTTGGCTCATTGCAACCTCTGCTTCCTAGGTTCAAACGATTCTCCTGACTCAGCCTCCCTAGTAGCTGTGATTACAGGTGCACGCCACCATGCCTGACTAATTCTTGTATTTTTTAGCACAGACGGGATATCCCAATTTTGGGCAGGCTGCTCTCAAACTCCTGACCTCAAGTGAGGTGCCTGCCTCGGTTTCCCAAAGTGCTGAAGTTACAGGCATAAGCCACTATGCCCAGCCTGCTTTTAGTTTTTTAAAGATTTTCCATACTTTTCTCCATAATAGTTGTACTAATTTACATTCCTACCAACAGGGTACCAGGGTTCTCCTTTCTCTACCATCTTGCCAGCATTTGTTTTGCCTGTCTTGCAGATAAAAGCCATTTTACTTTACTTTATTTATTTATTTATTTATGTTGAGATGGAGTTTCACTCATAGTCGCCCAGGCTGGAGTGCAAGGGTGTGATCTCGGCTCACTGCAACCTCTGCCTCCCGCGTTCAACTGATTCTCCTGCCTCAGCCTCCAAAGTAGCTGGGATTACAGGCATGTGCCACCACGCCTAGCTAATTTTTGTATGTTTAGTAGAGAGGGAGTTTCTCCATGTTGGTCAGGCTGGTCTCCCGACCTCAGGTGATCCGCCCACCTCCGCCTCCCAAAGTGCTGGAATTACAGGCGTGAGCCACCGGCCTAAAAGGCATTTTAATGGGATGAGATGAAAACTCATCGCGATTGTAATTTACATTTCTGTGATGATGAGTGATGCTGAGCACTTTTTCATATACGTGATCGCCATTTCTATGTTTTGTTTGTGGAGAAATGTCTCCTCATGTCTTTTGCTCGTTTTTTAATTAAATTGTTTTATTGAGTTGTTTGAGCTTCTTATATTTCCAGTTATTAATCCCATCTCAGATGAATAGTTTGCAAATATTTGCTCCTATTTTGTGGGTTGTCTCTTCACTTTGTTGGTTTATCTTTGGTGGTGCAGAAGTTGCTTGGTTTGATGTAATCCTAATGGTCTATTTTTTGCTTTGATTACTTGTGTTTTGAAGGTTTTAAACAAAATGTCTTTCGTCAGACAAATGTCTTCCCCATTATTTTCTTCTACATGTTTCATAGGTTCAGGCCTTAGACTCATGTTTTTAATCCATTTTCATTTGATTTTTGTGTAAGGTGACAGGTATAGATGCAGTTTTATTCCTCTGCATGTAGATATCCAGTTTTCCCCACACCATTTATTGAAGACTGTCCTTTCCTGATTGTAAGTTCTCGGCACCTTTGTCAAAGTCCATTAAATGGGCTGGGTATGGTGGCTCACACCTGCAATTCCAGCACTTTGGGAGGCCGAGGCGGGTGGATCACCTAAAGCCAGGAGTTCAAGACCAGGCTGGCCAACAGAGTGAAACCTCGTCTCTACTAAAAATACAAAAATTAGCTGAGCATGGTGATCAGTGCCTGTAATACCACTACTCAGGAGTTTGAAGCAAGAGAATTTCTTGAATCCAGGAAGTGGAGGTTGCATTGAGCTGAGATTGCACCTCTACACTCCAGCCTGCATGACAGAGCAAGATTCTATCACACACACACAAAAGAAAGCCATTGGATGTAAATGCATGGATTATATCTGTGTTCTCCATTCTGTTCCATTTTTTATGTGCCTTTCTTTATGCCAATGTCATGCTGTTTTGCTTACTACAGCTCTGTAACATATTTCTAAGTCAGGTAGTGTGATGCTCCTGTTTTCTCTTTATACCTTCAAGTCTCAAGACAGTGGGCATCGCACACAAAAATTATGGAGAAAAGGATCCCAAGACTCCCAGGGTCCAACATTAGATAACAGAGTGTTGGCCATGAACCAACCTCAAAGATTTCCATTGAGTAGAGGACAAGCACCCTCATTTCCTCACATCTCTCCTGTCCCGTGTTCTAGGAAACCCTTCAAGTAGTTGGCCTTCACCCACAGAACCAAGCTCCAAATCTGGTGAGTAAAGGACCCCTCTTATCTCTGCTTTTGGAAACCTGGGGAGGTGGAAGCCTTGGATGCAAGTGTTGGCTCAAACCTCCCAGCTCTGTGAATGAGGGCCTGTCTTCCACCATCTCTGAACTCCAGACACTCCAACAGTGAAAGGGATCTAGGGCCACCAAAGGGCTCAGCGAAGTCTCTTTACCTTTAATTTCCTGCAGGTGAGACCTCCTACAAGCTAGAAGAATAATTGCCAATCTGACATCCTTCTCAGGAAAAATGCAGTGTTTTTTCTGCCTGCATTCCTAACTGGAGGATAAATTCCCGGGGGCTTGAGAGAGGGAAGGGAAGGGAACATCTGATGAGGGTGGGTGTTTTAGAGAAGTTCCACTTGCCAAGGAATGAATTACTGTTGGTCATCAGGCAACCCTGGCTGACTCAGCAGAGCAAGAGCCTTGCCGTAACAGAGAACAGAGCTCATGCACGCACACTTCGACTCACTGACTCATTCAGCCACGGCCCCATGCTCAGGCTGTGCAGTGTGGAAGCTTTTCCTATTGTTGCCATAACAAATTTCCACAAGATTCGTGGGTGAAAACAAAACGGTTATTTAATTATCTTACAGTGCTGTAGCTCAAAGCATGACGTGCATGTCACTGGGCTAAAATCAAGGTGACAGCAAGGCTGCCTTCCCTCTGAGGGTTCCAGGCAAGAATCTGCTTCTCACTTTTCTCAGCTTCTAGAGGCTCCCATGTTCCTTGGCTCCTGGTACCCTTCCTCCTTCCTCAAAGCCCACAAAGACTGGTCACATCTCACATGGCATCACTCAGACCCTTCTTCCTTACCACACCTCTTTCTCTGAATGCTGCTCTCCCTTCTTGCCCTTCTTTTGAAAACTTGGGGATTCTATTGGGTTCACCAAGATGAAAATCCATCATAATCTCCCAGAAATCATCCAGGATACCCTCCTTTTAAGTTCAGCTGACTAGCAACCATAATTCCATCTGCAATCTTCATTCCTCCTTTCATGTAAAATAACATATTCACAAGCTATGGAGGCTAGGACATGGACATTTTTGGGGTGGGACAACATTCTCCTGCCTTCCACAAACAGTGAACAAGATGCATTTGGCCTCTGTTCTTGGGACACTGATCTTGCAGATGGTTAAATGGGAGGGCAGAAAATGTAGGCACAAGGGGACCAATAAATGAATGATCTATTGAGAAGCATCTGTGCATGAAATCTATTTATTTATGTATTTACCTACTTGTTTATTGAGACGGAGCCTTGCTCTGTCGTCCAGGCTAGAGTGCAGTGGCATGATCTCGGCTCACTGCAACCTCCACCTCCTGGGCTGAACTGATCTCCTCCCTCAGCCTCTCCAGTAGCTGGGATTACAGACCACAACCACCACGCCCGGCTAACTCTTTTTGCATATTTTCTGTAGAGAGGATGTTTCACCATGTTGGCCAGGCTGGTCTCAAATTCCCAACCTCAGGTGATCCAATAGCCTCTGCCTCCCAACACGCTGGGATAAGAGGCATGAGCCACGGGGCCAAGCCAAATTTTCAAATCAATAATAGATAATGCTGAGTGTATGATTTCAGGTGACAGAGAAGTTCTCACTAATCAGATATTTGTGACATTAATGAAAAACACGGATTGAACCCCTGGAAGATTGGCAGAAGGATTTTCCACACAGCTGTCAGCCGTGAAGGCACAAAGGTGAAAACAATCTGATGTGGAAGGAAGAGGCTCTGCCTGAAATGCCGGGAATGAGATGGGGAGAATGACAAGACGACTGTGGAGAGACGGAGAGCACACTGGGTACACAGGAAACTAAGGAGCAACAAGGAGTGTGTGTTTGACACTCACAGCCCTTGGATTCACCTCGGGGTAACCAGGAATCCCTACATGATTAATATGACTGACATGAAAATAAGGGAGGCTCAGGTGCATAACTGGAATCTAGGAGACCGTGGAAAAGGCAATTGCCGCCCCACTGGTGAAATGTGGTGCTGATTTAGACACTAAATGAATGAAGTAGATGGATATAAGATATGTTTGTGAGGTAGAATCATTGACTGGAAACGCTTACTGGGTTTAATTTTTCCTGGTAGTTTAATCCTCGCTTCACTAACTTATTTCTGAGATTTATTTCTCCTGCATCTAAATCAATACCTGGCAGAGGAGGGAGAGCTAGATGAGGGGTGGTGCAAATGAAGGGACCTAGTATAGCATAATATACAAGGCTGTGAACGGTGGCTCACGCCTGTAACCCAGCACTTCAGGAGGCCAACGCGGGTGGATCACATGAAGTCAGGAGTTCGAGACCAGCCTGGCCAACATGGAGAAACCCTATCTCTACTAAAAATACAAAAATTAAACAGGCATGATGGTGGTGCATGACTGTAATCCCAGCTACTCTGGAGGAGGAAGCAGGAGAATGACTTCAGCCCTGGAGGCAGAGGTTGCAGTGAGTGGAGATCGCATCACTGCACACCAGCCTGGGCTACACAGGGATACTCTGTCTCAAAAAATAAAAATAAAAAATACATAAATATAATAATATACACAAATGATGCAGGCACCTGAATTCCAATCATCATTTTTCTATTCCTCTATAATTACTTCTTTGATCCTTTATCTTATCCATTAGAAAATCAGCCTAAAACCTCTTCCATATTTGGCTTTCTGTGAACATGAGATCATATGGAAAATATGAAAGCCCCCTGAACCCACCAGCACAGGCCCTGAAATAGGGAAAGTGCTCTGTTCATCACAAGAAACTTTCCCCCTCACCCAAATCCCCCACCTCACCCCTACTTCCAATCACCTGTGGAGATACAGATAGATCATGGGGAGGTAAACGCTAATACTCCTTGGAGTGAGTTCAGATCTTGGAATCAGAGATCAGCACCAGCACTAGCTCCTGCTCCCCTTTCCTACTAATTCACAGGAGGACAGGTGGTTTTGAAGCAATAGATGGTGGAGGGGGTGGTCTTTCCCCCAGCCTCTCAGGTGGAACAGCAGCCTAACATGTGTCTCGCGAGATCACAAAGAGTAGCACGTTTCACATGGGCTTCATCATTATTTCCTGGCTGTTTGACATAAGAGAATTCTACTTTGCTTTTTTGATCTTGATTTCACTTTTGTGTCCTTTTCTTGGAGAATGTAATTTGAGTCAAGAGGGTTGTGGATGTAGAAACTGTAAAGCACATTCACTGTGTATCAATCCCAGTCCAGTCTTTCCAGAGAAGACTCTAAACACCTGCTGTACTGCACCTGGGCCTATGCCAATTTCTATCACTCACCGTCACTCCAGGGAGACAGAACACACAGAGAATACGTTACATAGGCAGGTTCATTACTAACAGATAAGCAGCGAGTGACAACAGAAGCCTACATTTCAACGTGAGCCAGTCCCTCAAGGCTCAGAAAAGCTGCTCGGGACATATGGAGTCACCTCATTTGCAGTGTATCTGGGGGAAGCCAGAAAATAGCCCAGCCTGGGTTTTGTACCCTGAAGCCACAGGAAGCACTCAGCTAAAGCACTGCATGACGTCCTCCTCCAGGAAGAACAGGAAGACAGCACAGGCTGTTCTGAGACGTTCCTCCTGATCTCAGGACGTTGCTGTCTTAGTCCATTTTTGTTGCTATAAAAGAACACTTGAGCCTGGGTTACTTCTTTTTTTTTTTTTTTTTTTTTTGTATAGTGCTTCTGATGAGCTTTTTTTTAAAATTTTTATTATTATTATACTTTAAGTTTTAGGGTACATGTGCACAATGTGCAGGTTAGTTACATATGTATACATGTGCCATGCTGGTGTGCTGCACCCATCAACTCGTCATTTAGCATTAGGTATATCTCCTAATGCTATCCCTCCCCCCTCCCCCCACCCCACAACAGTCCCCAGAGTGTGATGTTCCCCTTCCTGTGTCCATGTGTTCTCATTGTTCAATTCCCACCTATAAGTGAGAACATGCGGTGTTTGGATTTTTGTCCTTGTGATAGTCTACTGAGAATGATGATTTCCAATTTCATCCATGTCCCTGCAAAGGACATGAACTCATCATTTTTTATGGCTGCATAGTATTCCATGGTGTATATGTGCCACATTTTCTTCATCCAGTCTATCATTGTTGGACATTTGGGTTGGTTCCAAGTCTTTGCTATTGTGAATAGTGCCACAATAAACATACGTGTCCATGTGTCTTTATAGCAGCATGATTTATAGTCCTTTGGGTTTATACCCAGTAATGGGATGGCTGGGTCAAATGGTATTTCAAGCTCTAGATCCCTGAGGAATCGCCACACTGACTTCCACAATGGTTGAACTAGTTTACAGTCCCACCAACAGTGTAAAAGTGTTCCTATTTCTCCACATCCTCTCCAGCACCTGTTGTTTCCCGACTTTTTAATGATCGCCATTCTAACTGGTGTGAGATGGTATCTCATTGTGGTTTTGATTTGCATTTCTCTGATGGCCAGTCATGGTGAGCATTTTTTCATGTGTTTTTTGGCTGCATAAATGTCTTCTTTTGAGAAGTGTCTGTTCATGTCCTTTGCCCACTTTTTGATAGGATTGTTTGTTTTTTTCTTGTAAATTTGTTTGAGTTCATTGTAGATTCTGGATATTAGCCCTTTGTCAGATGAGTAGGTTGCGAAAATTTTCTCCCATTTTGTAGGTTGTCTGTTCACTCTGATGGTAGTTTCTTTTGCTGTGCAGAAGCTCTTTAGTTTAATTAGATCCCGTTTGTCAATTTTGGCTTTTGTTGCCGTTGCTTTTGGTGTTTTAGACATGAAGTCCTTGTCCATGCCTATGTCCTGAATGGTAATGCCTAGGTTTTCTTCTAGGGTTTTTATGGTTTTAGGTCTAACGTTTAAGTCTTTAATCCATCTCAAATTAATTTTTGTATAAGGTGTAAGGAAGGGATCCAGTTTCAGCTTTCTACCTATGGCTAGCCAGTTTTCCCAGCACCATTTATTAAATAGGGAATCCTTTCCCCATTGCTTGTTTTTCTCAGGTTTGTCAAAGATCACATAGTTGTAGATATGTGGCATTATTTCTGAGGGCTCTATTCTGTTCCATTGATCTATATCTCTGTTTTGGTACCAGTACCATGCTGTTTTGGTTACTGTAGCCTTGTAGTATAGTTTGAAGTCAGGCAGCATGATGCCTCCAGCTTTGTTCTTTTGGCTTAGGATTGACTTGGCAATGCAGGCTCTTTTTTGATTCCATATGAACTTTAAGGTAGTTTTTTCCAATTCTGTGAAGAAAGTCATTGGTAGCTTGATGGGGATGGCATTGAATCTATAAATTACCTTGGGCAGTATGGCCATTTTCACGATCTTGATTCTTCCTACCCATGAGCATGGAATGTTCTTCCATTTGTTTGTATCCTCTTTTATTTCATTGAGCAGTGGTTTGTAGTTCTCCTTGAAGAGGTCCTTCATATCCCTTGTAAGTTGGATTCCTAGGTATTTTATTCTCTTTGAAGCAATTGTGAATGGGAGTTCACTCATGATTTGGCTCTCTGTTTGTCTGTTATTGGTGTATAAGAATGCTTGTGATTTTTGTACATTGATTCTGTATCCTGAGACTTTGTAGAAGCTGCTTATCAGCTTAAGGAGATTTTGGGCTGAGACAATGGGGTTTTCTATATATACAATCATGTCATCTGCAAACAGGGACAATTTGACTTCCTCTTTTCCTAATTGAATACCCTTTATTTCCTTCTCCTGCCTAATTGCCCTGGCCAGAACTTCCAACACTATGTTGAATAGGAGTGGTGAAAGAGGGCATCCCTGTCTTGTGCCAGTTTTCAAAGGGAATGCTTCCAGTTTTTGCCCATTCAGTATGATACTGGCTGTGGGTTTGTTATAGATGGCTCTTATTATTTTGAGATACGTCCCATCAATGCCTAATTTATTGAGAGTTTTTAGCATGAAGCGTTGTTGAATTTTGTCAAAGGCCTTTTCTGCATCTATTGAGATAATCGTCCGGTTTTTGTCTTTGGTTCTGTTTATATGATGGATTACATTTATTGATTTGCATATATTGAACCAGCCTTGCATCCCAGAGCCTGGGCAACTTCTAGAGAAAACAGATTTGTTTGCCTCACAGTTCTGCAGGCTGTACTGGAAGCATGGCACCAGCATCTGTTTCCTGTGACGGCCTCAGGCTGCTCCCACTCTGGCAGAAGGGAAGGAGGGTCTGTCTGTGCAGAGACCACAGAGATCACATGGCAAGAGAGGGAGCAAGGGGGAGGGCGAGCGATGGAGCTTCCAAGCTCTTTTTAACAACCAGCCCTCCGGGAACTAATAGAGGGGGAACTTGCTAACCCCATCATGTGGGGCAGCATTAATCTATTCATGATGGATCCACCTCCATGACTCAAACACCTTCCCATAGGCCCAAACTTCCACACTGGGGGTTAAATTTCAATATTTCAGTGTGAGGTTTCAAAGGGTCAAACATCTAAACTAAAGCAGCTGTATCCTCAGCATGTTCTATGGTTTCTATGAGAGCTGTAACTGAGAAAGCAGGAGAAAGCTGGGTCTCCCGCCATCAGGCTGCTTGTCCTAAGGAGATGTTCCATGTGGTTACCTGTCAATCAAGAAATGAGACAATCCATAAAGAGGAACTGCTATGATTAGCTTCTTATTGGATTCCCATCTTCCTCCAGGTATCTGCAGACACCTGCATGTTCTGATTGGGACCTCAGTGGTCATCTTCCTCTTCATCCTCCTCCTCTTCTTTCTCCTTTATCGCTGGTGCTCCAACAAAAAGAGTAAGTCTCACGAAGCAGAGGCCAGAGAGCTCAGGGCCATGTGGGGAAGCAGGATGGGAGCACGCGGGTGTGTGTTCCTCACTGGCAGGATGGTCCCTGGCCCAAGGGAGGAGCCACAGAGGCAGGGCTTTCTAGAGAGAGCACCAGACAACCTGCCCCTGCCTTCAGCTCACAGACCATTGCCTGGTTCTGAACTGTATCCTCACATCCCCTGCAGCCACTGACATCCAGAAGCTTCCATGACAGGCAGAAAGTGGGAGACAGAATCAATGGGATGCCAATTGAGAGCACTTCATGGGATGGGGTCTTGAACTCAGAGAGATAGAATGTCTGAGTCTGGATGTTGGCAGCTGAAGAGCCTCAGGCACCTACAGCCTCCCCCTGTGGGTTGGTGTCTGCCCATGAAATGAGGACCCAGAAGGGCCCTCCAAGCGGTTTTGATGACTTCCGTCTCCTACAGATGCTGCTGTAATGGACCAAGAGCCTGCGGGGGACAGAACAGTGAATAGGCAGGTAGGTCCTCCTCGGCCCAGCCTCACGGATACAGTCTTATCCCTAATAGTCCTGAAAAATGTGAGCACCCTCCCTCACTCAGCATTTCCCTCTCTCCAGGACTCTGATGAACAAGACCCTCAGGAGGTGACGTACGCACAGTTGGATCACTGCGTTTTCATACAGAGAAAAATCAGTCGCCCTTCTCAGAGGCCCAAGACACCCCTAACAGATACCAGCGTGTACACGGAACTTCCAAATGCTGAGCCCAGATCCAAAGTTGTCTCCTGCCCACGAGCACCACAGTCAGGTCTTGAGGGGGTTTTCTAGGGAGACAACAGCCCTGTCTCAAAACCAGGTTGCCAGATCCAATGAACCAGCAGCTGGAATCTGAAGGCATCAGTCTGCATCTTAGGGGATCGCTCTTCCTCACACCACGAATCTGAACATGCCTCTCTCTTGCTTACAAATGCCTAAGGTCGCCACTGCCTGCTGCAGAGAAAACACACTCCTTTGCTTAGCCCACAAGTATCTATTTCACTTGACCCCTGCCCACCTCTCCAACCTAACTGGCTTACTTCCTAGTCCTACTTGAGGCTGCAATCACACTGAGGAACTCACAATTCCAAACATACAAGAGGCTCCCTCTTAACACGGCACTTACACACTTGCTGTTCCACCTTCCCTCATGCTGTTCCACCTCCCCTCAGACTATCTTTCAGCCTTCTGTCATCAGTAAAATTTATAAATTTTTTTTATAACTTCAGTGTAGCTCTCTCCTCTTCAAATAAACATGTCTGCCCTCATGGTTTCGATAATGTGACTCTTTATTCGCCAAAAGTTTCCAGTGTTATCATTACTATGTCCATATAACCTGATATGTTCTCTACTGGGTTCTCAGCCCTGGACTCTGAGCTTCTGGAAGCAGGGTGGAGCCTCATTTGTCTCTGGGACTCCAATTTCCATCCAAAGATGCAGCACATAGGAGGTTCCAAGGATCGTGAATCACATGAACAAGTGATATTCTTACTCTCTGCAGACCTGGAAAGCTGGCAGAGTCATTCCAAGATGAAACATTTGTAGAGTCATAGGCCTTGTTAGTCTCATCTCCACAGGGACACATGTCAACACATCATCTTTCATACTATAAATATACAGTCGCTCCTCCATATCTGTGGGGTTTACAGGTGTTTATTGAACCAAATATAAATCAAAAATATTCAGAGAAAAAATCCACAAAGTTCCAAAAAGCAAAAATACTATATTGTGTGGACACAAGTGAGGTGGTGTGTAGGCTGTATCAGGAATTATAAGTAATCTAGAGATGATTTCATGTATACAGGAGGATGTGCATGGGTTATATGCAAACGCTGTGCCATTTCATGCAACAGGCTTGAGCATCTGCAGATTTTGGTGTCTGGTAGGGAGGGGGGTTTCCTGGAACCAATCACCCATGAATAGTGAAGGACAACTGTATATAATTTTCATTCATCAATTTTATAAATAAATCATCAAAATGTATGATAATAAGATAAAAAATTAGCAGTGTTTTTATGGTGTGAAAATAAGCTTAGATTTATTTTTTCCTGCTTGTAACCCTCTGGTCCAATGTTATTTACTGAGAAGACATTCTATTCCACCTTAATCCGCATGGCAGCCTCTGTCAACTATAAAAGGACTGTGTGTACACAGATGTATTTTACACACTCTTTTCTGCTCAGTGGCTCTCTGTGTCCACTCTCATGAGGATGCTGCACTTTATGTGGCCTTATAGAACCCCTTAAAATTTGGCAGCCTGAATCCTCTAATTTCTCCTTCCTCTTTAAGATTGCCATTATTATTATTATTGGCTATTTGCTTTTCCATGTAAATTTGTAATCATTTTTCTCATTTCCACCAAAAACAATGCTTGTAATTTTGTTGTGACTCCCTTACATCTACAGGTAAGTTCTGTCCTATAGAAACATAATGCAAACCACATGCATTCTTTCAAACTTGCTAGTATCCAAATTAAAAAGCTAACAAGAAACAGATAAAATTAATTTAAGTTAACCCAATGGACCCAAAATATTATTAACCCAACAGACCCAAAATATTAACCTAATAGATCCAAAATATTATTTTATTATACAAGTAGACTCAAAATATTATCATTTCAACATGTAATCATGTGTCATCTTGGAAAACATCAGATCCCTGTCTAGGTGGGCAAAGATTTTTCTTCGTAATATCTCATTTCCACATTTCCACTTGGCACAGAAACTGCCCCCAAGGCTCAGGATACTAAGATGCAGTAGGAATGGGTAGATGTATCTGGAGGAAAGTGACTGAATGAAATTGAGACATCAGAGTCTGGGAAACTCACTAGAACTACAGGGACAGTGTGGGGGAGGGAATTGGGAGATGTTGATCAAAGGATACAAACTATCAGGTATTCAGGAGGAATGGGTCTGAAGATCTCTTGTACAGCTTTGCCACTATGGTTGACAATACTGTACTCTATACTTGAAATTTACCAGGAAAGTAGATTTTTTTTTTTAAATATGGAACACTTCACGAATTTGCGTGTCATTCTTGCGCAGGGGCCATGCTAGTTTTCTCTGTATCGTTCCAATTTTAGTATATGTGCTGCCGAGGCAAGCATGGGAGAGTAGATTTTTTTTTTTTTTTTTTTTTTTTTGAGCTGGAGTCTTGCTCTGTCACCCAGGCTGGAGTGCAGTGGCGCGATCTCGGCTCACCGCAAGCTCCGCCTCCTGGGTTCACGCCATTCTCCTGCCTCAGCCTCCCGAGTAGCTGGGACTACAGGCGCCCGCCACCACGCCCTGCTAATTTTTTGTATTTTTAGTAGAGACGGGGTTTCACTGTGTTAGCCAGGATGGTCTCGATCTCCTGACCTCGTGATCCGCCTGCCTCGGCCTCCCAAAGTACTGGGATTACAGGCATGAGCCACCACGCCCGGCTGGGAGAGTAGATCTTAAGGGTCCTCACCACAAAAAAAAAAAAAAAGAAAGAAAGAAAAAGAAACCATAGGCCGGGCGCGGTGGCTCACGCCTGTAATCCCAGCACTTTGGGAGGCCAAGACGGGCAGATCACTTGAGGTCAGGAGTTCAAGACCAGCATGGCCAACATGGTGAAACCCTGTCTCTACTAAAAATGCAAACATTAGCCAGGCGTGGTGACACAAGCCTGTAATCCCAGCTACTCAGGAGGCTGAGGCACGAGAATTGCTGGAACCTGGGAGCGGAGGTTG